>NC_000009.12:104735703-104887218 GCF_000001405.40 Homo sapiens | reverse complement strand
ACAATGTCTGCCTCCCAGGTTCCAGTGAGCCTCCTGCCTCAGCCTCCCAAATAGCTGAGACTACAGGCATGTGCCACCACGTCCGGCTAATTTTTGTATTTTTAGTAGAGACAGGGTTTTGCCATGTTGACCACACTGGTCTCGAACTCCTGGCCTCAGGTGATTCGCCCGCCTCAGCCTCCCAAAGTGCTGGGATTACAGGCATGAGCCACCATGCCCGGCCATATCCATGCACTTCTTGCAACCTTACCTTCTTTTCTCATCACCCTCCAGGGACCTAGTTGGAAGAGCAGAGTTAAAAGTTAAGGTGAAACTTGGAGAGGTGTCTTGTCCCTAGGAACAAAGGACTGGTTTGAAATTCTCTGTAAATCTTCCCCAGTTCAAACCAGAGTTATCAAGGTCTTAAAAACTTCCCTGGGTCCTGAGAGCCCATTATATTATTTACTTGTCTTCCTGTACACCCACTGCCTAGTCCTGATCCTACTTTTGTTTGCAAATAGGATGGGGCACAACGTACAAGGAAGGGCCTTTGCCACCCCTGCTAAGGGATAACCTGAAATACCTTCACCATCACTGCCCTGTGCTGCTTTTCACCTATGCCAGTCTGTCTACAGTGCCAGTGTCTCCTGGCATTGAAAGGGGAGAATCTTTTGGTCCTTTGAGTATTTGGTTGGGTTACATAAATCTCCCTGAATGAAGAGCAGCTGACTTAGGCAAGGGGCCTTGTTTGGTTTTCCTTGAACTATTAACAGGAAGATAGGGAGATTAACTGTGTAAATGTTCAATAGGCCAGAGTCCCTGCAGAGGGTGGCCACAGTGATCAGATCTTATCACATCCTTGCTTTGGGTGTTGCCTCTCTGGTTGGAGTATGGATAGAAAAGAAAGAAAGACCCTATATTGAAATGCAAAGTGCAGCAAGTCCTGACTTTGGATTAACTTCTCAGCCCATTTGCATGAAAATAAAAAGATGAATAAAACAAGGTTCCCACTTTGGAGGGAGGTGGTAGCTGTGAGATGGAAGGAGTGTTCCTGCTGGGCAACAGCAGAGTAAGTGCTGGGGTAGATTCACTCCCACAGTGCCTGGAAAATCCTCATAGGCTCATTTGTTGAGTCTTTGTCCTACACCAGGCACTCTGCAAAAACGCTTTGCCTGCAAGGTCTCATGCGATGCTCACCACAGCTCTGTGAAGTTAATTGTACTTTTATCACCATTTTACAGATGAGAAAACTGAGGGTATGGGGTCAATGACTTGGCTAAAGTCACTGCTTAGCAAGCTGCAGGGACTGGATGTGAATTCCAATTGGTTTGACTCCAAAGCCTGTGAAGCTACTTGTTCTTCACCACCTAGAGCTGTGGTTCTTGATAACTGTGAACTCTTTTGGGGTCACAAATAGCCCTGAGAATATGATAGAAGCAGGAGCTCTGGCCTTTCTGTCCATACCTGAACAGGTCCTTGGGTTAAGAGCCCCTCGTCCAGGGCCTATTAATCTTGATCCTCATAAGCAGCATCCATGTATTACGGCCGCAAACCAAACTGTGCCAGACCGAATCCTAGGACCAAGCCCAAATATGTCCCATCATCCTTTTGGTAAGAAGCTCATTGTAAGAAAGAAAGAGGAGAGCAAGAGGATGACCTAGTGCATGGGGCCTCATTGTTTTAATTAGTGACAAAACAACAATAATAACAACAAAACCCCCGAAGCTTCACAGATGACATCAGACCCCAAGCCTGTGTGTTTTTCAGGTGCCCTTGAGGAGCTTTGTAGCTGGCAGAGGAGGTGAAACTGACAAATGTTTGGCAGATGGAGGAGAGTACCAGAGGGGTTTGAGATGAGCTAAATTCCAATCTAACCGCAGGTGTGAGGAAGAGGCTTGGATTGGGACCATGGAGATGGGGGTTCTACTCCCAGTCACGCCAGCTGACTTTGCGAGTGTTCTTTGTCAGTCACTTTATCTTATTTTATTTATTTTTATTTTTTTGAAATGGAGTTTCGCTCTTGTCGCCCAGGCTGGAGTGAAATGGCGCGATCTTGGCTCACTGCAACCTCCCCCTCCTGAGTTCAAGCGATTCTCCTGCCTCAGCCTCCAGAGTACCTGGGATTACAGGCGCCTGCCACCAAGCCCATCGAATTTTTGTATGCTTAGTAGAGACAGGGTTTCGCCATGTTGGCCAGGGTGGTCTTGAACTCCTGACCTCAGGTGATCCGCCCACCTTGGCCTCCCAAAGTGCTGGGATTACAGGCGCGAGCCACTGTGCCCAGCCCACTTCATCTTACCGTAGTTACCTCCTTAGAGTATGAAAAAATAGGCTTAGGGCATCCCCAAGTCCCCTCTATGTCTGAGAGCTGAGGCTGGCTGTCAAAGAGGAACTAAGGATGCCAGGGACTTTCTGCTTAGGACCCCTCTCATCACTTCTCCAACGCTGGTATCATGAACCCCATTCTACAGATGATGTCCACTAGATTAAGAATGGCATGTGAGGCCAAGTTTCCACCTGAGAGTCAGTTTTATTCAGAAGAGACAGGTCTCTGGGATGTGGGGAATGGGACGGACAGACTTGGCATGAAGCATTGTATAAATGGAGCCTCAAAATCGCTTCAGGGAATTAATGTTTCTCCCTGTGTTTTTCTACTCCTCGATTTCAACAGGCCATTTTCCAAATAAAGCCATGCCCTCTGCAGGAACACTTCCTTGGGTTCAGGGGATTATCTGTAATGCCAACAACCCCTGTTTCCGTTACCCGACTCCTGGGGAGGCTCCCGGAGTTGTTGGAAACTTTAACAAATCCATGTAAGTATCAGATCAGGTTTTCTTTCCAAACTTGTCAGTTAATCCTTTTCCTTCCTTTCTTGTCCTCTGGAGAATTTTGAATGGCTGGATTTAAGTGAAGTTGTTTTTGTAAATGCTTGTGTGATAGAGTCTGCAGAATGAGGGAAGGGAGAATTTTGGAGAATTTGGGGTATTTGGGGTATCCATCACCTCGAGTATTTATCATTTCTGTATGTTGTGAACATTTCAAGTCCTGTCTGCTAGCTATTTTGGAATATACTATATGTTGTTAATGATATCATGCAGCAGACGTGCATCTGAATGGGCTGGCTCTAGGAGCTAGAGGGTAGGGGCTGGCACAAAGATGCATGCTGGAAGGGTCCTTGCCCATAAGAAGCTGACAGCCAAGGCTAGGGGAGTTCTGTCTTCTCTGCATCAGGTCACCTCTCTCACCTCTGTCACTGCCCCATCAGACTACAATGTCTGCAGGTCTTTCTCCCCTGAGTGTGAGCTCCCTGAGCAAAGCAGGATGCTGCCCCTTCCCTTTGTATTCCTGGCTCCTGGCTTCAGTGCCTGGACATAAGTATGGGCATAATAAGTGTCCCCCAAATGAGACATTGAGGATTCTTCAAATGCACAGGACCGTGATGTGAGTTAGGACGGAGTAAGGACGATGGGATGTGGCTCAGGACAATCCTGAGGAAGCTGCAGCTGCGGCACGCAGGGCCACACTGTCATGTTCATGGACCCTAGACTGGCTTTGTAGCCTCCATGGGCCCCTTCCATACACAAATATTAAAAATTATATTTCATGACTGCATTGGTATAAAGATGAATATAATCCAGACCAGATTCATGATTATTCATACATTTTTAGTGTATTAACTTTTAATTCTGCTTTTAAAATAAATTAAAACATTCTAATATGCCCTTAAGAGTATCCCAGGCCCAGGCCACTGAGCCTACTGTGGTTCATGGATAAGTTGGCCCTGGGGGCATGTGTGTGCATGCATGTGTGTGCACATGCATGATGAGCCGGGCCTTGAAGGGTGGTAAGATTTGGGTGTGTAGACCAATGGAGAAAGGCATTTGGGGCAGTGATGATGGGTGGGGGAGGGAACATGGTGATGAATGGAGCTGGGTGTGGGGAGCCATGGGAGTGGGTTAGGGCCAGCCTGTGGAGGACCTGGGAGCCAGGCTGAGTTCTATGCACTTGGCAGTCACTTCTGTAAAGCAGCAGAGGCAGTTGGCCTAGCTAAAGCCTTTCGCCTTTTCTTGCACCCTTTACAGTGTGGCTCGCCTGTTCTCAGATGCTCGGAGGCTTCTTTTATACAGCCAGAAAGACACCAGCATGAAGGACATGCGCAAAGTTCTGAGAACATTACAGCAGATCAAGAAATCCAGCTCAAGTAAGTAAAAACCTTCTCTGCATCCGTTTATAATTGGAAATTGACCTGCACCAGGGAAAGAGAGTAGCCCAGGTGTCTGGGGCTTGTTCCCATTAGATCTTCCCCAAGGGGTTTTTCTCCTTGGTGGCTGGCCTGTGGGGCCCCTCTCCAGGAGGCATTGGTGAAGAAACTAGGGGAGCTGGTTGCCACAGACAGTGATGTACTAATCTTCTCTGGGAAGACAGAAGAAAAGTCCCCAGGGAAGAATACTACAGACTTGGCCTTAGGGACAGCTAGGGGTGCAGATTGCTGCCAACTGCATTTTTTCTGAAGTTGGCCATATGGTTGCAGTGAATGGATTTATAGACAGAGTATTTCTGTGCATATAAGAGCAATTACAGTTGTAAGTTGATATGGATAAGTGAAAGTTAAGCACTTCTTTCTAAAAAGAGAATGCAATTCATTTTCCCCTAATCATTTCAATTAGTCTGATGGGCATTTGAACTTGTTGTCTTTAAAAAGTGAAATCTTTACCTCTGATCTGGTAAGTATCCAGGCAATTTCTTGTGTGCCACCCAGGAGGTATCTGGGGAGTGGGCATTTTCTGACTGAGGCATTGGCTGCCATAGCATCAGAGCAGCCTTCCAGGCAGTGGCCTGGCAAGGGGACAGAGGCTGGTGGGAGCAGCTGGCTGAGTGCAGCCAGTAATGGCATGTGCATGGTCTGTAGAGAATGTAGAAGCAATAATGAAGCCGATAAAAGCTGGTCTGCATTTTATTATTATCATGCGCCGGTGGTTCTAAACAATGTCAGTGATAAATTACTCCTCCCCATCATGGACCAATGGCTGCCACTGCTCCAGGGAAGTGCTTTTTATTCCGTTTGGTGTTTAGGGAGGGATGGAGTTGGCTGGCCTTTGCTGAAAGGCCTACCAGTTTGTTTTCTATTTGGCAAAAGAAGAAATGATAAAGTTCTAGAGTTTAAACCAGACTCAGATTTGAGTTTTTTTTTTTTTTTTTTTTTTTTTTTTTAAGGCTACAGAACTGTGCTTTCCTTGGGCAGTAAAAGAGGCAATGGGCAATGTGGGACCTGATGACAAAGGGAAGCAAAGCTGTCTTAGGGGTGGCATGGAGGAGGTGCTGCTTCACAGCAGAGAGAGGTATGGCTGTGCTTGGAGTGTCCACTTAGACAACTCCTGGCTGTGCAGCCAGGCCATCGAGATGCTGTTTCCTTGACCTGCAGGTCCTGGTCTTGCACATGGATGTTTCTTCTGGTGCAGGAGACAGAAAGGTAGCAACAACCCCTGATCAAAGCCTCAGTCCTTCCTTATTTACTGGAGAGCCCCTGCTGATTGACCAGAGGCACAGCTGGGGATATTTCCTTTACCTCTGTAGCAAGAGACAGCGTGGTGCAGAGGAAAGTGCTAGCATACATTACCCTGTGGCTGCATGACTTTGTGAATAGGTTAGTTAGCACCCTTTCAGCCACTTCTTCTTACCTGTTAATGAGATAAAACATGTAATTGCTTAAAAACAGTATTTGGCACATAGGAAGCACTTAGTGAATATGAATTATGATTTTTTTTGGAGTGGTGACATCTCAACCAAGCCATTTAACCCCTCAGCCTTACTTTCCTCAACTATAAAATAGCAGCTAACTTGAAATGTAAACTATAAAACCTAATGTAGTATCTGGCACATAGTAGATTCCCAATAAATGAGAGCCAGTATTCTTTCTAAGACAGTGATGCATTTCTGAGCACCTGGCCTTGTTCTTCTGCCTTGCAATTTATGCAGCAGTTGAAATAGACTGGCTGATGGGGGTAAGTTGTCAAGCAGACTTTCTGATCTTAGTGGAGGAGACTGCCTTAAAACAACACTAATTTCCTTTTTCTTTTCTTTTCTTTTCTTTTAAGACAGAGCCTCGCTCTGTCACCAGGCTGGAGTGCAGTGGCGCAGTCTTGGCTCACTGCAGCCTCTGCCTCCTGGGTTCAAGCGATTCTCCTGCCTCAGCCTCCTGAGTAGCTGGGACTATAGGCATGCTCCACCATGCCCAACTAATTTTTGTATTTTTAGTAGAGATGAGATTTCACCATGTTGGCCAGGATGGTCTCGATCTCCTAACCTCGTGATCTGCCCGCCTAGGCCTTCCAAAGTGCTGGGATTACAGGCATGAGCCACCATGCCTGGCCTTCTTTGAGAAGCTGGAGACATGAGTTAAGTGGTGAAGAAGCCAAATCTGTATCTAAAAACCCTACAGTAGTGTGCAGAGCTCTGAGGAGAGAAGGTCCCTTAGATTTTGAGTGTATTATTATGTCAGTGCTTGTTTTACATCTCTCTGTTCACGCAGTATGTCCCCTTTTCTGCCTTGCAGCTGTTTCTTAAATTCTTTCTTTCTTTGCTTGTCTTGCAGCACAAAACAGGCTTCAGTATAGGGGGAAATGCACAGAAACACTGCCTTTTCCTACAGGAAATCAGTAACTTTTTACTGATTTTGTTTTTATTTACTTATTTTATTTGTTTAAATTTATTTTTAGTTTTTTTTTTTTTTAGAGACAGGGTCTCTTTCTGTTACCCAGGCTAGAGTGCAGTGGTGCCCTTAGAGCTCACTGAGCTCACTGCAGCCTCGAATTCCTGGGCTCAAGTGATCCTCCTGCCTTAGCCTCCCGAAGGGCTGGGATGACAGGCATGAGCCACTGCACCTGGCCAACTTTTTGCTGATTGCGAATAGCACTCTTGTCAATTTCGGAGAGAAGCTGAGACTGGCATATGTCAGTATGGATCCCCACTTAGAGACCTGTGTTTATCTGCACTGACACCCCATCACAGCATGATGAGCTTGGCCCTCCTGTGCTGTCTCTCCCAGGGCTGGGAGGATCCTTGAAGCTGATCTGGTTTGGAGCTTTGTCCTCATTCACCTCCTTTACCACACACCCACCTTCCCAGGGCGGGGATCTACCACTCACTAAGTAGCCCATTCTGGGTGTTGACAGCTCTAATTGTTAGAAAATATTCACCACCCTGTTATGCTTTCTAGAGAACAAGTCTAATTCTGTTTTCCTTGAAATAGTCGAAGACAGCTCTCATGTTTTTCTTTCCCTGTTTTCCCAAAGTCCATGATTTTTTAGGCAAAATGGCCTCCTTTCCTCTTATGGAATGTTTTTCCTCCCCATTTCTGCCTCTCCTCTGGTTGTGTTTCAGTATGTCTGTGTGCTTCTTGAAGTTTACTGGAAATTATGAAAGTATTCTGGCACAGAGGAGGAAGGGATTTTTGCCTCCCTTGTTCTGAGTGCTACATTTCCGTTAATGCAGTCTGAGATTGTATTAGGCATTTTGGCATTCACGTCACCTTGTTGACTCATATTCCATGTGCACTCAAACAAAATTGTGATTATTTTAAATAGGCAGAATTGCAAGTTACGTGTTCTCCATTTCTTTGTTGTATTGTTGGCTTTTTGAACTAAAGGGAAAAATGTCTTTTTTCTGTTTTACATGTTTAGATTCCCTATGCTATCCTATCCTCCCAAAACCATTTTAGATTCTGATTTTGCCATGTATTATATCTGATACTCCTTTCTCGTCATCTAGAGATGTGATAAACAACTCTCTTTGGCCTCATTCCAGTCATCGATAACTGTGGGACAAAGACTTGAAGCTTGGATCAGTCCAGTGGAGACTAACCACCCCTGTAGACCCTTTTTTCCTCAACTATAAAATAGCAGCTAACTTGAAATGTAAACTATAAAACCTAATGTAGTATCTGGCACATAGTAGATTCCCAATAAATGAGAGCCAGTATTCTTCTAAGACAGTGATGCATTTCTGAGCACCTGGCCTTGTTCTTCTGCCTTGCAATTTATGCAGCAGTTGAAATAGACTGGCTGATGGGGGTAAGTTGTCAAGCAGACTTTCTGATCTTAGTGGAGGAGACTGCCTTAAAACACCACTAATTTCCTTTTTCTTTTCTTTTCTTTCTTTTTTTTTTTTAAGACAGAGCCTCGCTCTGTCACCAGGCTGGAGTGCAGTGGCGCAATCTTGGCTCACTGCAGCCTCTGCCTCCTGGGTTCAAGTGATTCTTGATTCTGTAGACACTACCACTCAGGCCTATATTGTAATCAGTGCTGGGCCACTGGGCTCCTGCTTCTGTGATCCAGTTGGGAAGTTTATCTTGTTCTTCCCTTCAGCTTGCATCTGCTAAATTCGCTGGACTATACACAGGTGATTTGTAGATATGGGGATCTCTACTCAAATACTCTCATGATTTCCTTGGCTAGAGCATCATTTTATTTCCACTTATTGGAAGAGACCTTAGAGACCAGTTAGTTCATTTATAGATAAATTAGTTGATTCTGTCATTCAACCCTTATATATTGAGCGTCTCCTATATGCGAATCACTGTTCTAAGTGCCGAGACACAGAGGTGTCCAAAACAAATATGGCCCCTCTCCATATGGAATTTCTATTCTAGAGAAGAATCTGACCCAGAAGGGGGAAGTGACTGTCCCAAGTCTACACAACCACAGAAGGGATATTCTGGGAATAAATCACGGCTAAACCCCCCTGCTGCTCCAGGCAGTTCTCCTTCTACAGTGCTCTATTGTGCTGTTTTAATAATCTTTCAACTGGGAAGAACTCCCATTTCAGGAATTAAGCCGTGGACAAATCTTTTAATTATCCTTGAAATCATCCTAATAAGAAATCCAAGGAGGAAGTCTTACAGGGTGCCTCACCCACTTTTCTCATCACTGGAACTTTTTAGACATTTTATTATTTTCTTCCTAAACCAGAGTACAGGCACACAAGTTGAGTGGTGTGGTGGCTAAATTAATTAATGTTTGCAAGGCAGTGTGAGAAGCATTCATTCATCTTAAATACCTATGGTGACTGCAACTCAGATGTAAAAATTGGATAAATCCTCAGAAACCCTAGGGAAAGTGACATGTCTGTATTTTGTCTCTGTGAGATACAGACTGGCAGAGATAAGTGTTTCTCTGGGTGAGTTTTGTGTGGTATCTGGGATGATTTTAGGCAGTACGTGGATGAGAACTTTTAATTTTAACCCACATCCAATTGCAATTTCATGGAAATTATTGCTTAGGAGGATGTTCAACAGGAAAAATATAATTAAAGTTAATTCAAAAGAAACATTTTCTGTGAATATGGTAAAACTTGTGAGAGTAGTTTGTAAATGATTGAAGATTGGAAAACATTGGTATAAGAGTGAGTGTGGGGTTTTGTATTAAGATTCATTTTGGGAAGAAATCCATGCTGCATCCCTCATGAAGTGTGAACTTTGGGCATGTGTTGATTCTTTCTGGCCCAGAGTTTACCTGAAGATTAGCTGCCCTGAGGGTCACTGAGCATTAAATTAGATGATGTCTGTGGATGACTGATAGTGAAGCTCATAGCCCACAGTTGACACATAATAAATTCGAGTTGCTTTGCTTCCCCTTCTGTTCCTGGCTGACTGTTTGGCCTTTGCCACTTGTTCGGCCTCTCTGGGCCTTAAGTTTCTTTGCCTTGAAATTGGAACTTTCTTTGGTGAAACAACCAGAAAATGCTTCAGCCCAGAAACTTGGTCAGTACTTGGATGGGGGATCACCTGGGACTACCCAAGGATGTGGGCTGTCTGCTAGACTATAGCCCCTTGAGGGCAAGGTGGGCGCCTTGCTCATGGTTCCATCCTAAGCCCCAGCACAGTAGTGGGTGCATGGTGAGCCATTAGTGAATCTTTGTGGAATGAAGGTGGGAGAAAATAAAATACCTGTACTTCACAGGGTATTGTGAGGGTCAAGTAAAAGTGCTTTAAAAAATTGTATTATATAGTTTATTCCCTTGTGTTAGCCCAGGTCAACAGAGCCTACGAATAATAATGATGACAGAAGTTCTTCAAAAAGTCTTGGCCTTCTTTCTTTCACAAAATTGCCCCCCAGAGCTTTCTGGAAGGGCAGCCATGAACCCAGAGGCCTAAAGTAGATTTACTGGGAAGCTAAAAATATTTACTTTATTTTTCATAGCTCCTTTCAAGGTCCTCTCTGGGGGTCTTAGCAATATGTTTACACAGTGGTATGTTTTTGTAAGGTTTGCAAAAGTAAGATTTTTTAAAAATACTATCTTGTTTTAAAAAGAGAGCCCCCTACCAACTTGTGTCAGCCTCAGGCCCCCACCTGCATCTGCTCCTGCCAGGGCATGGTGGGGCAAGAAGCACTGCTCCCCTTCCAAAGCTTCCTTCCTTGCCCTGGAGTCATCCTCACTCCCCACTCCAAGCCACCTGCCATCGCTGTGCCCCCTCTCTGGTGAATCTGGCATTCTTAGGTGGGCTGAGAAGCAGACTGGCCCAAGCTAAGGCCTTTCTGATGGGGTTGTTGCTGCTGAGAATCATGACTGGGTGGGAGAAGGAGGTGACCCTTTGCTGTCTTATTTTTACTGTGTATTTCCTTTTCAGCTACTTAAAATGTATTGCTTAGTGATACCTAATGGGTTCATTAGCCTGCTTCCTACTGAACATTTCCGCTCAGGCATCCACTTGGTCCCAAGGCCTGCTCCTCTCCCATATTCTGAAATCTGGACTACAGACTCTCATTCAACTCCAGGTTGCACTGTGGACACAGTCCCCTCTTGAGCAGGTACCTCCTTGCAGTGGTTGGGACGTCCTACTTGGCTCATAGTTGGGAAGTGCATATGCTGGAGCTGAAGCCTCTTGCCTTCCCGGGATAGGGCGTCCTCACATCCCCTCTGAGAAGTTCCCCAGCTTCCCTCTGTTCCCCGTTTCCACACTTAGCGAGGCTCTTGTCCACTGCTACATCCCCCATAGCCAGTCCCTCAGCCTTGCCATTGCTTATGCTGGTCTGGAAACAATTCCTAGACTTGTGGGGCATCTGGGGAAGTTCTCCATCTTTTTTTAGCTGGCATGACCCAAGTGGTGTGGGCAGGGCTGTGGATTCTATGGTGTGGCTGGAAGCCAGGTAGCCTCTCTCTACTGTACATGGAACTCAGCAACTTCTGAGTCAAGCAAGATCTTAGCTCTGCAGGTGTCTTGCCCTGTCCAAAGTTATGGCCACACCAGTACCTTTTAACTCTAGAAGCCCAGTAAGTGTTTTGTGGGACCGCAAAGATCATTTTCTAGACCTGCTGAATATGCCTAGAACGGGTAGGGATGGCTTTCACGCTGTTCCTAGGGCTGACAAGTCACACGTTTCTGGGGGTACATACACACCGCGGTCCCTGTGAATGGCACTCTCCATGAGAACTGTGATGATTTGAGTTGAATAGTGCACAGCCTACATGGTTCTCTGCCATGGCCTGGAGTTCCTTATCTTGCCTTCTCCAGTGAGGACTAGGGCTGCAACTGGCCTACTTTGGCTCCTGACTTGGGGGATTCTGAAATACCTTTTTTTTTTAAGGTTGTGGAGCTCTCTGAAGCTTATAAGGATTTTGCCAGGAAAAGATAAGAAATATCTTTGGGCATTTTGTCACTGTGCTGGAGATGAACCCTTTGGAGGACATATCACCTTGTTGAGGTCAAGGGGCGGAAAGGGACAGGACTGGCAGAGAGATCCGGGGCAGCAGCCTGCCATCCCGACTGAGTATGGAGTTTCTCTCTCCCTTCAGCTGCACTTTTGTGTGGAGTCAGTGGCTCAGCTGCCACTTCCCTTATGTTCATGGCATGAATCTGGCTTGTTAGGCCTTTCTTTTTTTTTTTTTTTTTTGAGATGGAGTCTCACTCTGTTGCCCAGGATGGAGTGCATGGAGTGTAGTGGTGTGATCTCGGCTCACTGCGACCACCGCCTCCTGGATTCAAGCGATTCTCCTGCCTCAGCCTCCTGAGAAGCTGGGATTACAGGCGCATGCCACAACACCCTGCTAATTTTTTAATTTTTATTTATTTATTTTTTTTCAAGGCAGAAGAATTTTTCTTAGTACAGAACAAAATGGAATCTCCTATGTCTACTTCTTTCTACACAGACACAGCAACAATCTGATTTCTCTATCTTTTCCCCACATTTCCCCCTTTTCTATTCGACAAAACTGCCATTGTCATCATGGCCCATTCTCAATGAGCTGCTGGGTACACCTCCCAGATGGGGCGGCGGCCGGGTAGAGGGGCTCCTCACTTCCCAGAAGGGGCGGCCGGGCAGAGGCGCCCCCCACCTCCCGGACGGGGCGGCTGGCCGGGCGGGGGCTGCCCCCCACCTCCCTCCCGGACGGGGTGGCTGGCCGGGCGGGGGCTGGCCCCCACCTCCCTCCCGGACGGGGCGGCTGGCCGGGCGGGGGCTGCCCCCCACCTCCCTCCCGGACGGGGCGGCTGGCTGCCCTGCTAATTTTTGTATTTTCAGTAGAGATGGGGTTTTACCATGTTGGTCAGGCTGGTCTCGAACTCCTGACCTGTTGATCCACCTGCCTCAGCCTCCCAAAGTGTTGAGATTACAGGCATGAGCCACTGCGCCCGGCTCTGTTTTTTTGTTTGTTTGTTTGTTTTTGTTTTTGTTTTGAGACGGAGTCTTACTCTGTTGCCCAGGCTGGAGTGAGTGGAGCGGCACGATCTTGGTTCACTGCAACCTCTGCCTCCCGGGTTCAAACAATTCTTCCTGCCTCAGCCTCCCGAATAGCTGGGATTACAGGCACTTACCACCAGGCCTGGCTAATTTTTGTATTTTTTAGTAGAGACGGGGTTTTGCCATGTTGGCCATTTGAACTCCTGACCATCTTTGAACTCCTGACCATGTTTGCCATGTTGAACTCTTGACTTCAGGTGCGTTGGCCTCCCAAAGTGCTGGGATTACAGGTGTGAGCCACCATGCCCAGCCTGTTTGGCCTTTCTGATATGGCTCTGACTAATCTTTTTGGAAATTAGTCCCCAGGGTTATACTGGATTTTACTTAGGGAAAAGGGTCATGCCTCTCTGGCTGTCAGATTTACTGATAGTACTAAGGACTCAGTGGGGTGGACCTTTGATTCTGGTTTGATTTTTGAAAATCAAAAAGACGTGAGCTCCAGGGAGCAGGGTGGCTTTGGTGACATGGCAAGATAGTTGGCTGTGGCAGGGAGTTGAGGGAAGTGGGTAGAAAATTAACATCTTGTAAATATTCCCTGGGAAATATACCTTCGTGTTAAGAGAACAGACTTGGCAGCCAGATGGCCTAGGTTCAAATCTTGGCTTGATGCTTATCAGCTGTGTAACCTTGGATAATTCCATACATCTCTGTGCCTCAGTTTCCTCAAATGGAATAACAATAGTACCTCCCTCAGGACTATTGTGGCAAATTAATGGACGAATAAGGGGAAGCACTTAGTACAGTGCCTGGCCCAGCATAGGTACCAGGCTTGTTCTTAAGCTCACTGCATTTTTACAATCATCATAAAATGCAGGGGATACACACATGAAGGAGCCGAAGTTCAGAGAGGCCAAGTAACTTGCCTAAGAAAGCACAGCTGGCAAGGGGCAGTAATAGGACCAGAATTCCAGTTTCTCGTGCTCTGTTGTTGTTATATCCTAAAGAGAGCAGCTCTGAGTAGCCAGAAGCTTCCCTAAAGTCACAGGACATGGGGCATGGGCTGGCTGGGATGAGAAAGGAGACAAGAGGGCTTCTGAAAGAAATGCCAGATTCACTCCACTTCCTGGCTTCAGGCACCGATGGAATGTTTCCCAAGGCCCATCTAGAAAGAACATCCTGTGACTCACAGCCACTTCTCATTTTCTGTCTGAACCCCCTCACCCATTCAGGCAGCTGCTAAAGTTGAGGTTACAGCCTCAGACTATATTTTCTGTCCTTGTGGAACCCCAGTGTGTCATCTTGTTGGGAGATCTGGTGATACATGTGTCAACATTATGTCATCAAAATGGAAATTCTTTGAAATCTTTAGGTGATTGCAATTCACGTTCTGTATGTATGCACTTGTCAAAAGTTTTGATTTGAGGCCTTAGAATTTTATATTTGGAAACCTTTCCACTACCATGAGTTTTCCCAGACCTGTCAAAGCCAGGCTGCATCTCAGAAACCAGGTCTTTGATTTCCATCCAGGGCAAGGGCCTGGGCCCAGCTGGGCTGTAAGCAGGTGGGGGTGGGGAGCAACGCTGCACTGCAATGTTGAAATATTACTTGAACTAAATCAAATCAAAGATCAGCTTTACTCAGACAAGAATAGAAAACACAATTGCATTCGATTACAGAATAGTGTGTATCCCCACAAATATCAGACTGCCTTTAAAAAGTTTTGAATTGTTAACATCAAGAACAGTGTTGCGTGTCTCCTGCTTTTCCAGCATAAGGTTTATTTATTCTGTGGGTGGCAAAGAGCAATTTGGGAGTCCAGTTTGTTTCTCATTGAAAGCTTTCCCATTTCTGGTCCTCTTGTCACTGTTGCATTGAGGCACCAAAAGGCAATCTCAGTGCGACACTATTCAACAGACTAAGTTGCACCGGATAATGATACCATTTTACATTTTTCATATATTATTACATTGAAGGCTTCAAACAGCACTAGCAGGGGCAAATTGGTATTATTATCTCCATTTCATTGATGAGGAAACCGAGGCTCGAAAGGGTAATGTCTGTTGTCCAAGATTAAAGAGTAAAGTTGTACGTTGAATCGGGGTCTGACTCCTAGGCTTAGCATTTTCTCCCCACACTATGCTGCCATGTTGCTTATTCCAACATTAGGAAGCATAGGTGCCATCCCCAGCTTTTGAGGCCAATATCACGATGAAGCATTTTTAAAACATCTCATTAAATTGCTGATATAGTGGAAAGAACCAAAGCTTTGCAGTCAAAGCTGTTTGGGTTCAAATTTACCACTTGTTTGTTCTATGACCCTGAGCAAGATATTCTCCAGATCTGTTTCCTCATTTGAAAAATGGGAATAATAATACGTTTCTTTATAGGCTGTTCTTAAAGATTCTGGAAAATAATGCTAATAGTGTGCCTAATGCTTGGTAAATATGAGTCACTTTTCTGTGCCCACAAAGCACTACTATGTCCCTTAATAAATTTTGTTAATTTTAAAAGTTAGAAAAAAATTAAACTATTTATACATTGTGTATGTTAATTCTTCCCTAGACCAGCCTTAGGAAGAATCTCATCCCCAACTTGTAAACTCATCTTTTTCCGTTCTTTTTGTGCCTGGACTTCTCAGGGCCCTGCAGGCTGATTCTAGTCCCATGTTGTGTGGTGTTTGAAGTGTCTGGTCCCTTTTTTCAGTGAGAGACCAGCTCATCCTTGGGAACTGAATGCCTCAAACTCTCTTTTCTTTTTCTCTCTTCCCCTTCTGTTTGATGTAGTCTTTCCTGTTTCTGGACTCTGTTTCTTCATACTTCCTATCTCTTACCTTCTTTTCACTCCTTTTGTCTTCCAGCTGTCCTCTCTCATTTTTCTGCCTCTCTGGTCTTCAGGTAGAGTTTTCATCTCAGCTATCTTCTTGCTTTTTCTGATGTTGGTTCTTTGTTTCTTCTTCTCATTCTGTTCAGGTCCAAAATTCATTTGGGTCAATGTTATGTCTTAGTGTTATCTTCCATTTCCTTCTGAGCTTCAAAGCCAGGCTGACTGTGCCCTTCCACGCCCTGGCCAGTGTGACCAGGACATCCTTTCCCTCTGGGGCTGCACTGGCTCTTTGGGGGAATTGTTACCATTCAGGGTCTTCAACCCTCATTCTAGGGACTTCCAGTAACTTCTCCCACCTTCCCTCTTCTCAGTAAGACATGGGTATTGTCTTATTCTGTTTCTGCTGCTAGAAGAAAATTCTCGAGACTGAGTAATTTATACACAATAGAAATTTACTTCTCACAGTTCTGGAGGCTGGGAAATCCAAAATCAAGGTGTTGGCAGGTTTGGTGTCTGGTGAGGGCTGCTCTCTGCTTCTAAGATGGTGCCTTGTTGCTGCATCCTTAGGAGGGGACAAACGCCATTTCCTCAACTGGCAGAAGGGACTGAAGCCTCTCCCTCAAGCCCTTTTATAGGGGTCCTCATTGTCAGGCCTCTAAGCCCAAGCCAAGCCATCGCATCCCCTGTGACTTGCACATATACGCCCAGATGGCCTGAAGTAACTGAAGAATCACAAAAGAAGTGAAAAGGCCCTGCCTCGCCTTAACTGATGACGTTCCACCATTGTGATTTGTTCCTGCCCCACCTTAACTGAGTGATTAACCCTGTGAATTTCCTTCTCCTGGCTCAGAAGCTCCCCCACTGAGCACCTTGTGACCCCCTGCCCCTGCCCACCAGAGAACAACCCCCTTTGACTGTAATTTTCCATTACCTTCCCAAATCCTATAAAACGGCCCCACCCCTATCTCCCTTTGCTGACTCTCTTTTCGGACTCAGCCCACCTGCAGCCAGGTGAAAAAAACAGCTTTATTGCTCACACAAAGCCTGTTTGGTGGTCTCTTCACACAGACGCACATGAAACTCATGGTATCTGTGAGGGGCCCTAATGCTATTGGTGAGGGCACTGCTCACATAACTTAATCACCCCTTAAAGGCCCTGCCTCTTAATACTGTCACATTGGTGATGAAGTTTCAATGTATGAACTTTGAGGGGGGACACGTTCAAATCATAGCAGGTGTGCTATTGCCTTACTAGCAAAGTAATCTGGGGGAAGATGAGTAATGTCTCGTTCCACCCCTGATTCCAGTGCTGACTGATTCTGGAGTGGCAGAGAGGGTTGGAGGCTCACCGCTCTGCTCACCCGACCCTCTGGCCATCTCCTCTTAGAATGCAAGGGCAGGGATTTTGTTACACAGCGCCTCTTTTGTTATAGGCTAGCTCCTGCCTTCAAGGAGCACTGAGAAAAATATTATCCCTTTGAACCACAACACTAGTATTTTGGGTACTGTAGCCATTCAGAAGTTTGTTGAACTAATACAAGTTTATATTATTTGTAAAATACTAGAAGGAATGTGTGGTTCCTAAAGTTATGGTATTCCCATTGGTTGAAAGAGAAGACTCTGGCTTCCTAATGCCTTGGAAGGTTCAGGGAGCATAAGCCTAAATATCCTGGTTTCTCTTGGGAATTCTTCACAGCTTGTCATCTATGACTTTATCCACATTTATTTTGAACATGTTTAATTTTCAGCTTGTATTTTCTCAAGGAGTATGTGTGAGTCAGCATTCAGAGTACTTAACACACTTAGTGTCATTAGTGATAACTTAACCCACACGTATAGGAAGCTAGACCTCCATTTACAGAAAAATGGAGGCTCAGAGAGCCTAACTGACTTTCCCAAGGCCACATAACTGGAAAATTCTGGAACTGAGTTTTTTCAGGTATGTCTTGGTATCCCTCGGTGAGCCTTCTCTGTAGAGAAGGAAGTGTCTCCTGGGTTGGAAAGCCCAGGCCGGGATGAACAGCATGGGTGTCCTTAGGCTGTGTGTACCACACACCCCTGGCCTACTCTCCCCTGCTCTAAGGAGTCACCTGAAGGAGCAGCTGCATCACCCCGCCTCACCCCTTCTCCTCAGCACCCAACAACCAGGTCTTCCCAGAGAGTGCTCAGCTATTGGTGAAGCAGGCATCGTCTATTCTTCAAGAAGACAGCAGAGCATCAGGAAAACAAAACACCAAAAAAATACCATAAAGACACTGGAGTGTATTTGTTACCAGCCCTTGTATAACAGAGAAGTATTTCAAGGTCTTATTTGTAAGGCTGGACAAGCTCAGGCTGATTAAAACCACGAGTTAGAATTTGTCTCCCGCTCCCAGGCCCTGCTCAGTTGACAGCTCCTAGCAGGCTGGGAGGCCCCACCCCACCCCCACCCCAGGGGTCCATTGAAGAAGACCATCTGGGCCTGGGATGCTGATGTGATTTTCCCTACTTCTCCTTTTTTTTCATTTGCCTCCTCCACCCACTTCTAAAGCAGCTGATTGCTCTGGTTCCTTTTCATGTTGAGCAAAAGAGAAGACAGATCTTGAAACCTGAGCTGGGGACTGGAGGGCACTGACCGAGAGTAACCCCGTCTGGCTCAGCTCAGCTCAGCAAAGGGCTTTCCTCCTCCGCCTTCCTGAGCTGCTCTCCCTCCTCTCCTTTCCTCCTTCTTTCCCAGCCTCCCCCAAGCTCCTTCACCCCTCTCTTCCCTCTCCTCCCTCCTCCCACCTTCCTTGTCCTCTATGCTCAGAGAACTGAAGGAACACTGAATGGCCTGGAAAGCAGGACCTCGCCCCCACCCCGCGTCATACCCCTCCGCCTGCACGTGCAAATGTGTTCCTCAGCTTGGTCCCAGAGGCCTGGACCTGGGTCCCAGAGGTCCCAGCTGGTTCCCCGGCTTGGTCCCAGAGGCCTGGATGTGTGGCAAGAAGCTGAGGGTTCTGCTTCGTTTCTTCCAGCCCACAAACACACATGTCACCTGTTTTTTGTTCTTTTTCCTTTCCTTTGCCCCACTTTACAGAAGCTCTTGGCTAATTGGTAGGTCACTGTTTGCTCCTCCAGGCAAAACCAAGGAGGCTGAGCTCAGCAGGTCAAGTATTTTGGTCTGTATTGAAGAGACTGTGGTGGGAGAGCCCTCTTGACCTTCTGCTGGATAGTGACTTTCTCTTCTGCTGGCAGCAGTAGCCCAGCTCCGCATCCTGTGACAGAGGTCATACCTTCCAGTTACCCGAGCGAACACTTGGAGCAAGTCAGCTTTTTCCCCTGAAACAGCACGTTCACGTTCTTGATCTTTGGTTTGCACAACAACCTGTGAATGTTATTAGCCCCGTTTTTTTTGTTTGTTTGTTTTTTGAGACAGAGTGTCGCTCTTGTTGCCCAGGCTGGATTGCAATGGCGTGATCTCGGCTCACTGCAACCTCTGCCTCCAAGCAATTCTCCTGCCTCAGCTTCCTGAGTAGCTGGGATTACAGGCATGCGCCACCACACCCGGCTAATTTTGTATTTTTAGTAGAGACGGGGTTTCTTCATGTTGGTCAGGCTGGTCTCGAACTTCCGACCTCAGTTGATCCACCCGTCTTGGCCTCCCAAAGTGCTGTATTAGCCCCATTTTATATCCAAGGAAACTGAGGCTTAGGGAGATTTAAATAGGGGGGAAAGTATAGCTTCATGATTACACAGTCAGGAAATGGCAGAGCTGACTCTTGAATTCAGACCCTGTGATGCTGTATCCAGTGCTGATTTTGTTTTGCCCTGTGTTCCTTTCAGTGTCAGGTAAGAAGACCTCAGAGATCATCTTCTCCAACCCACACATTTTACTGATTATAAAATCCAGGTCCGCATTAACTCATTGGCCAAAGTTAAGTGGCTAAATGACTCTCCTGTTCAGGAAGTATTCCCTGTCTTGTGTGGAATGATTGGTCTTTCGTCCAGGTCATCTTCCACCTATATCCATCCTTGCAGTGACTGGTGGATATGATCATTCCTGGTGATTCCCTGTAAAATACTAGATTTATTTATTCTTTCATAAAGTTATGAGTAGACAAATCAGTCAGCTTCAACCTTTCCTTTACCTTATAGATAGTATCAGCAGAAAGAACTCAATAATTCTGTCTTAGGAACTCAGCCAGGCTAATATGTATTATAATACACACATACATATGCACACACATACACACATGTGCATACCTTAGATCACAAATTCAACATCTCAACTTAGCCGCCAAAGCCACTTCTGTGTCTTGTCTATTCTGAATATGCTTTAAGGTTAAATTAGCCATGAATCTGTTCAGATCAGTCATTCCTGAAAATGATGATGATATTAGCCATCCTTTACCGGGCACCTTACTCAGTGCCCGGCATTATACTAGGTCTGCAGGTACATTTGCTCATTTAACACCTAGCTCAGTCCAATGAGGTGGATGCCATTGTCATCTCCATTTTATCATTTAATCAACTCAGCCTTCCTCTCTCCTGTTCCCCACTCTGCTTCTAGCTGCCACTCACCTGACTCTCCTCTTGATCTGGGCTGACGTGGCTGAGTGGGTTTAGCAGAACTCTTGTGTCCTCTTTACTTGGTTTGTTTCAAGTTCATGTCCTGCTTCATCTTTTCCCTAACTCACTGCAAGGTGAATTTTCTTCTCTGCAATCGGCAATTCCCCAAATCACATCAGGTCATTAATTTATTCACTCATTTGTATTCATTCATTCATTAGTTCATCCATCCATCTATTCATTCATTCATCCAATTTACTGAGTGCCTCCTCTGTGCCAGGCACTGCTGGCTTTGGAATTAAAAACCCTGGCCCTCAAGGAATTTCTATTCTTCTGGGAGCAGGATATTTACATGGGTGACTGCAGCTTGATCTGTGTGGTACTAGTGGAAAACATAGGATGTTGGGCACAAAAGAGTCACAAAACGCCGGGCGCGGTGGCTCATGCCTCTAATCCTAGCACTTTGGGAGGCCAAGGCGAGTGGATCACCTGAGGTCAGGAGTTCAAGACCAGCCTGGCCAACATGATGAAACCCCAACTCTACTAAAAATACAAAAAGGAATAATAGCTGGGCGTGATGGCGGGTGCCTGTAATCCCAACAACTCGGGAGGCTGAGGCAGGAGAATTGCTTGAACCTGGGGCTTTGGAGGTTGCAATGAGCCAAGAGCGGGCCACTTCACTCCAGCCTGGGTGAAAGGGTGAAACTCTGTATTAAAAAAAAAAAAAGTCACAAAAAAGGGCTGGCCACCTAACCCAGCTTGAGGATGGGAAGGCCAGGGCAGGCTTCCTGGAGGAGGTGACTCATGGGCCATGTCATGAGGATGGGGTAAGAGGAGAAGGTATGTTTCAGACATCTGGCTTTCTTAATATTCTTGGCTTTCCACCCATTTTCCTGCCAGCAACATAGGGGAGAAGACTGAGACCAGCAGATACAAAGCCACTGTACTCTGTCCTCACCCCCTCCTTTTTTCTCCCCTTCCTACTACCCAGATCTGAGGTTTTGAGAAATCTCTTCTCTAATTATCTGCTTGTTCATTCATTTGTTGAGAATCTACTATGTGCATAGCATTATGACCACAAAATGTCCTGGTCGTTGTCATCATGAGAGGTCTTACCCCTTCCTCTCCAGCCACTTCTAGGGATTTTTGACTCTGTCCTTTTCCAGAACTTGGCTCCAGTCTGGTTGCTCGCCATGAAGCACTTACAGATAAACCTCATCTTGGGCCAGTGCTTCCATTTACTGTCTCCTTTTGGCTTGCTTATCCTTCCTTCTGCCTTCTTGAATTGATTTGCCTCTTTATCTCCCCTTTCAGCCTTGAAAGTTCCTCGAAGGCAGGGACTGTGTCCCCATCTTTTCTATAAATGGCATTGTTGTACATTGGTAAAGTTGAGTGAAAAAATCTTTTTGATAATCACAAATTATTACCATATATTGAGCACCTACCATGATGAGTATCTCTGATCTTCATATCTTTGAAATGTGGATACTATTACCTTCACTTAATTGGTAAGAAAATTTGTGCTCAGGGAGGTAAAGTCACTTTCTCACAGTCACACAGCTATTTCACAGGAGAGTGCAGTATCAAATTTAGGTTTTTCTGGTCCCAAACCCTGATGTTTCCCCCACATCATTGTTTCTCAGACTTGGCTGCAATCACCTGAAAAATTTTATTAAATTCTTTTTTTTTTTTTTTTTGAGACAGAGTCTCGCTCTGTCACCCAGGCTGGAGTGCAATGGTGCCATCTCTGCTCAGTGCAACCACTGCCTCCCACGTTCAAGTGATCCTCCTGCTTCAGCCTCCCAAGTAGCTGGGATTACAGGCACCCACCACCACACTCAGCTAATTTTGATATGTTTAGTAGAGACTGGGTTTCACCAGGCTGATCTCAAACTCCTGACCTCAAGTGATCTGCCCACCTCACCCAGCCAGGTTTTATTAAATTCTGATGCCTGGGTCTTACCCTAGCAGTTCTCATTAGTTGCTCCATGGTGTGGCCTGGGCTTTGGGATTTTTGTGAAGCCCCCAGCTGAGTCTAACGGGCAGTCATGTTTGAGAACCAGTATACTACACCATGTTGCCTTCCTGTTTTCACACAGGTTGGTGCTAGTGTGTGAGTCTAAGCCTACATGGGTGGATATCCACGTGATCAGGCTGCAAGTTCTTTGTAGTGGAGGATCTTTGGCCCTCCCTGCTGCTTCCCAACCCAGCGAACCTACCACACCATGCACGTGCACAGCCAAGGGTTGTTGACTGTTTAATCAGTCTCTGGGTTCTTATGTCTCATCCGGGGGATTCACTGATAGGAGGCTGGAGCTTGATCACATCCAGATGTTCTCATCTTCAGAGCCTGTTAACATAACAGAAGTCTTATAAACATGCTGAGCACACTCACTGGTCTGGAGAGTGTTGCAGGATGACCTAGGCCCATTGCAGGGGTGGCCTGGGTCGCCCTCCCACACTTCTGCCACCCTGCTTGGGAAGGAGGGAGCTGTTTTGAAGTTCCCTGGTGCAATATGATGTATTGCTCTGGCTCTGCTCAGGAGGAAGCTATGGCCCACCTAGTCAGTGAGGGTTAGCTAATACGTGTATTCTGTTTCTGTTGAGGTTTCACAGAGGCCTTTTTTGACCCTTCATTTTATAGATAAGGCAGTGGAGGCACAACTACATGAAATGACTCGACAAATAAATGGATTTAGAACCCAGGTTTCTGACTCCCAGGGTGGTGCTTTTTCCATGGTTGTACAGTGATTAATGTCTACCTTTTCACACCAGTCCTCAACTGAAGACACCAGCTTACACCTTCCTTCCTGTTTCTCCCAAGAACAGAAAGTGACCCCGGATGTCGCTTTCTGTTCCTGGGAAGGCAGTTCCAGTGGTTAGAAGTCCTGTTCACTCCTGGGGTGTGGCCTGGGGATGGTCCTGACATCCCTGGGCTCTTCCTGGACCTGGCCAGCTAAAAGGAAATCTCCTATGATGGTACTCAGATACTTTTGGAACCTTGTCAGCCCTAATCCCATCTCCTAGTGTTTAGTATTCAGCTACCCTTCACTGGGCAGTAATTCTGTGCCAGGCCTGATCTGGGCATTGGTGGTACTAAGAACGCATATTCCCTATCCTATAGGCATAGTCTGGTAGAGACAACATGCAAGTAAAACAATGTTCCTTAAACTGTGGTTCCACACCTCCCTCCCCCAACATTAAAAGTGTAAGGGATGCTTATTCAAATGTAGATTTGTAGGCTCTGCACTCTAGACCCACTATTTCAGAATCTCTGGGGACTGGGCCCAAGAAACTGCATTTTCGCATGCTCCCTAAATGAAGCTTAGGTGCTCTGAGGTTTGACAACTGCAGTAGAGAGCCTAATGCTAACAGTGTAGAGTCACATGTGATGGGAAGCATCAGGTAGGTAGCAGTTTGCAGGAGCACTGATTCTGAGGGACACTAACTGGGCCTAAGAACAGCTACTGGCTGTCATGAGGAATAACTAGGAGCTAGCCATAGAGGGGTAGCAGTGAATCATTTCTCTAGCGATGTAAATCTTGCTCAATTTATTCTGTCTATATAACTCAATATTACTGAAGTTTGCCTAAAGCAGAATACACCTGGATCATACAGCATTTATGAGAGACTGGCTGGGCTGTCAGGCCCTCCTGTTACTTTATCTCTGCATGTGACCCTCTTAGCTCCGCGGATTAACTCCTGTCCTCATTAAGCCTCACACTGTAGCCCCATTTTCAGATCAAACCTGTTTCTCTTCTGGTAAATGATTTCAGTTTGCAAAGTTTGCCCTCTAGAGGTTGCTTAGTGCCTGGCCATGTGGGCTCAGTTCATGTGGTCCTGATGAGCTGGTTTTATCTTTATTACAAAGAAGTTAGGCTGTTAGGAGAGTGGGTTGGAAGGAGAAGAGGTAGACAGCCAAATGAGATGAGTCAGGGAAAACTATACTGTTTCGGAGTCATAGGGCTCCTACCAAGCATCTGGTCAGAAACCTCTCATTTTGGAGATCAAGAAATTGAGGTTCAGAAAGATGACATGAGGTACGCAGGGACGCCACCAGACACAGCCTCCAACTCTAGAAACTAAAATTCTGGATTCTTAGTGCTGCTTTTTCTGTTTTGTTGCACTGGATTGAAGCCTTTTCTAACTGTACTCAGAGGGCCTATTATTTAGGGAGATTCCGTATGAAATCCTTTAGCAATCAAATCATTTAATAGGGCTGATGGTTTAAATATATGTTAATGTGTTTTCCTAAAGCCTGGCAGACCTGGGTTTTGGAGCTTTGTATCACATGTTTTATGTTTGGAATGAAAATGAGACCATGTCTGTGAAGGCACTTTGATATGCGTAATGCACTCTGCCAGTGTTTGTCAAAACATGGTCCCCAGGTCAGCAGCATCAGCATCACCTGTAAGTGATTCTCCAGTCGCATCCCAGGGCCGCTGTATCAGAAACTCTGGGGGTGGGGGTGGGGGTGGGGGTGGGGGTGGGGGTGGGGGTGGGGGTGGGGGCCGGCCCGGCCCGGCCCGGCCCGGCCCGGCCCGGCCCGGCCCGGCCCGGCCCGGCCCGGCCCGGCCCGGCAGTCTGCATTTTAACAAGCTCTCCAGGTGATTCTGATGCATACTTAAGTTTGAGAACCATTGCTTGTTTTGCATTAAACAGGAGATTAGTCTCTGCAGCTTGTGGGAATAAAGCTTTAAATCTCTCCAATTTTAGCTCTGTGAAAAGGCAGTGGGGAGACAGGAATGAACGGACTAGTGCCACAAAGCTCAGGTGGGGTGGGTGAGATCATTTAGAAGAGAAAGACCGGGCATGGTGGCTCACGCCTGTACTGTCAGCACTTTGGGAGGCCAAGGCAGGTTGGATCACAAGGTCAGGAGTTTGAGACCAGCCTGCCTATCATGGTGAAACCCTGTCTGTACTAAAGATAAAAAAAAAAAAATTTGCCAGTCATGGTGATGCATACCTGTAATCCCAGCTACTCGGGAGGCTGAGGCAGGAGAATCTCTTGAACCCGGGAGGCGGGGGTTGCAGTGAGCTGAGATTCCACCATTGCACTCCAACCTAGGTGACAGGGTGAGACTCCGTCTCAAAATAAAAAAAAAAAAAGAAAAGGAAAGGCTGTGTGTGTGTGTATGTGTGTGTGTGTGTGTGTGTGTGTGTAACAGCACCATCACACTGTTTGAGTTGAGGAGCACATGCTGAGTGTGGCTCAACATGTTACCAGAAAGCAATATTTTCATGCCTCTCCTGATATGG
This sequence comes from Homo sapiens, assembly GCF_000001405.40. NCBI lineage: Eukaryota > Metazoa > Chordata > Mammalia > Primates > Hominidae > Homo > Homo sapiens. The sequence continues at coordinate 104,861,953 of NC_000009.12, read as the reverse complement.
CGATGCTCCCCTATCTCATTCCTGTGTGTGTTTAGCCAGGCAACTGTTGATCATCAATATTATGATAACGTTTCTCCACTGTCCCATTGTGCCCACTTTTTTTTTTTTTTTGAGTTACTTACTAAATAAAAATAAAACACTATTTCTCAATAGACTTGAAGCTTCAAGATTTCCTGGTGGACAATGAAACCTTCTCTGGGTTCCTGTATCACAACCTCTCTCTCCCAAAGTCTACTGTGGACAAGATGCTGAGGGCTGATGTCATTCTCCACAAGGTAAGCTGATGCCTCCAGCTTCCTCAGTAGGGCTGATGGCAATTACGTTGTGCAGCTACTGGAAAGAAATGAATAAACCCTTGTCCTTGTAATGGTGGTGAAGGGGAGGGAGGTAGTTTGAATACAACTTCACTTAATTTTACTTCCCTATTCAGGCAGGAATTGCCAAACCATCCAGGAGTGGAATATGCAACCTGGCGTCATGGGCCAGCTGGTTAAAATAAAATTGATTTCTGGCTTATCACTTGGCATTTGTGATGATTTCCTCCTACAAGGGATACATTTTAAGTTGAGTTAAACTTAAAAAATATTCACAGTTCTGAGGCAATAACCGTGGTTAAGGGTTATTGATCTGGAGGAGCTCTGTCTAAAAAATTGAGGACAGGAGACTTTAGACAAGGGTGTATTTGGAGACTTTTAAGAATTTTATAAAATAAGGGCTGGACGCAGTGGCACTGAGTTGAGAACTGTTGCTTGCTTTGCATTAAATAGGAGATCAGTCCCTGCAGCTTGTGGGAATAAGGCTTTAAATCTCTCCAATTTTAGCTCTGTGAGATGGCACTGGGGAAACAGAAATGAACGGACTAGTGTCACAAAGCTCAGGTGGGATGGACGAGATCACTTCAAAGGTCTGTAATCCCACGTCTATAATCCCAGCACTTTGGGAGGCCAAGGCGGGAAAATCACTTGAGGTCAGGAGTTCGAGACCATCCTGGCCAACATGGCAAAGCCTGTCTCTACTAAAAATATGAAAATTAGCTCAGCGTGGTGGCATGCTCCTGTAGTCCCAGCTACTCGTGAGGCTGAGACAGGAGAATCGTTTGAACCTGGGAGGCGGAGGTTGCAGTGAGCCAATATCACGCCATTGCACTCCAGCCTGGCTGACAGAGTGAGACTCCATCTCAAAAAAAAAAAAAAAAAAAGAATTTTATAAAATCAGGAAATAATATTAGTGTTTATGTTGAATTTTAACTTTAGAATCATAGAAAACTTCCTCTGGCATCATTATTAGACAGCTCTTGTGCAGTGGGTAGCACCAGACCCAGCTTGCATGGTTATTGATTTTTCAGAGACACTTTTTGAGCTTATTCTCTGGCAGAAAGGGGAACTGCTTCCTCCCCTATCTCGTGTCTGCATACTAGCTTGTCTTTACAAGAAGCAGAAGTAGTGGAAATGTTTATTCTTGAAAATAAGCTTTTTGCTTCACATGATCTAGAATTTTTAAAATTAGAAAAATGTGCTTACTGCGTGCCCTTCTGAAACTAGGAAAATATGCCTTGTGTTTACCAATTGTGTGGTTAGGAGATGGGCCAAAGGCATCAGGCTTTTGAAAGTAGTTGCATTTAGCATAATTTCCATTGCCCCCTGCCAATTTCATATCTGTCACATCTAATCAGTTTAAAATAAGGGGCATCCTAAGCATGGAGATGGTCCTTGGATGGTCCTTGGAGTTTCTGTATTTTCAGTATTCTTTTTTTTGAGCATACAAGACATTTATTGAAAAATTCTTGGGATCAATACTTGTGTAAGGAAAGGAAAGGGAACAAAGCATGATTGGGCAGAGGCAGAAGATGACATCAACAAAGGCCCTCCGTTGTCAGTATTCTTTTTTTTTTTTTTTTTTTGAGTTGGAGTCTCGCTCTGTCACCCAGGCTGGAGTGCAGTGGCGTGATCTCAGCTCACTACAACCTCTGCCTCCCAGGTTCAAGTGATTCTCTGCTTCAGCCTCCTGAGTAGCTGGGATTACAGGCATGCACCACCACACCTGGCTAATTGTTGTATTTTTAGTAGAGACGGGGTTTCACCATGTTGGTTGGCCAGACTGGTCTTGAACTCCTGACCTCAGGTGATCCGTCTGCCTTGGCCTCCCAAAGTGTTGGAATTACAGACATGACCCACTGCACCCGGCCTGTTGTCAGTATTCTTAAACATAGACACTAACTGTAGGCTGACAGCCTAGCAGCAAGGACCAGTTAAAGAAATGAGTAGAACTGAAGTGTGCTTGAGTATCTCTGGCAGTCAGCAAAAACTTAATGGGAATCATGGTAGGCCAAATGTTCTGCAGTATTTCAAAAGCTGCATGGGTTTTGAGAGGCTTTTGGTCCATCACTCACCTTAGGTTGTTCTACAAGCACATCAGCCTGCCCCAATTTAAACAGGGCAGTTAGTAATGGTGTAATAAAGAGTCTGCATTGTTCATTCCTTCAACAAATACTGGCTATAATGTTTCAGCACTGTGGATGCAAAGTGAGCAGGATAAACAGGCTCTTCTTTCAAAGCTTGTGGTCCACTGGACCACGTATGAAGTAGAATAGTTTAGGTCCAGAAAGGCAATTAAGTAAAATATGACCAAGAAGAGGCTCTCTAGTGGGTTTGGTATAAAGAAAAGATAAGAATGATTTAGAATTGGCCTATCAATGAGATAAGAGGCCTGGCTTTCTGGCACTCTGCTCTAGGGCAAGTAAAATGGAGAATTCCAAATTCTGAAATTGTTAGAACATAGTTCTGTGTCTTAGTTAAATATCTACACTTACAGATAAATAGCATAAATGCTTTCTCCCCATATTTCAGCCCAGTCCTACTTAAAGACAACATAAATTGCAAAATAGTGAGGATGTTGTTCATCTAATAAAAGTGGTTCCAGGAATTCAGACTCTGGATTCCTGTTTGCCAAATCATGTGTCCCACTCTTAAGAAAACGAGTTGGACTCTGGATTTTTCTTTGCAAGAGGGACAAGAGTGTGGGAGATACTGAGTTAATGCAACTTGCAGGTTTTAAGTGTCCTGTCATTGTGCCTTGTGCTTTGATACATTCTGAGTTTCAGTAAAGAGACCTGATGCATTGGACTGTTGCAATGGAACCTGTTTTAAGATCTTCAAAGCTGTATTGATATGAAGTTCTCCAAAAGACTTCAAGGACCCAGCTTCCAATCTTCATAATCCTCTTGTGCTTGTCTCTCTTTGCATGAAATGCTTCCAGGTATTTTTGCAAGGCTACCAGTTACATTTGACAAGTCTGTGCAATGGATCAAAATCAGAAGAGATGATTCAACTTGGTGACCAAGAAGTTTCTGAGCTTTGTGGCCTACCAAGGGAGAAACTGGCTGCAGCAGAGCGAGTACTTCGTTCCAACATGGACATCCTGAAGCCAATCCTGGTGAGTAGACTTGCTCACTGGAGAAACTTCAAGCACTAATGCTTTCGGAATGTGAGGCTTTTCCTTGGACAGCATGACTTTGTTTTGTAGAAAAGTACGGCTGGCTGGGAGTTTGTGATATAATTTAGTTCAGTGGTATTCTAAGTGTTCTTAGTGTTCTTTCAGACTTTTGGGCCATCTCCCAAAGGGTGAATGGGAAGAATAAGCTGGGTGTGGCTGAGTTTAAGCCAAAAGTTTTTTGTGCTTGTTTCAATCAGAGAAGACCTGCTTTTTCATGTTTTTACTATTATAATACTAAGCAAGAGCTCATTTGAAAACAGAGTTCTTCATATTTAAAAAAAAAAAGTCTTGAAACCATTGATGGGAAGATGGATATCTATTTATGTTTAAAAACCCATCATAAAGATGACATTGTGGGCTGTCACAGTTGGAAGGCCCTGGAATTAGATGAGACCACACTATTTAGCTTACTTAGTAATAACATTGCAAAGAAAAATTCCGACGAAGTTTTTTCAGCCTAGGAATCAATAGTTCAGAGAAGCACTCTATGAGAATACCCATTCATTCTTAACCAAAAAATACTGGTGAGCCTGAGCAGTTTGGTCATCAGAGTGTTTTATATAGTTCCAGAACAAATATGTCTCTAGGTGTTCTGAGAGCTCTGGTGAAATTCCTCTCGCTACCCCAAACATCATCATTTAATATCCAGGATTCTGGTTTTCTACTCACCAGATAGATTCTCTTAAAACCAGGGAAAGATTCCTGGAGGAAGGATGTATCTGGAAAGAGATGTTCCTTATTATAATAAAATGAAATTGTAATACTCTTGGATTTTGTGCAGCACGAATTCTTTATAGAGAGTTGGTCCTCCCAGAGAATTAAGAATACTCAGTTTCTGGACCCTGTTCCCAGATCATACCCTAGAATGTGACCTTAGAAACACACTTCAGGATTCATACCTTTGATTGACCATCAAAAAGTTTTTGTATCGGCCAGGTGTGGTGGCTCACGCCTGTAATCCCACCACTTTCGGATGCCACGGCGGGCAGATCACGTGAGGTCAGCAGTTTGAGACCAGCCTGGCCAACATGGTGAAACCCTGTCTCTACAAAAATACAAAAAATAGCCGGGCGTGATGGTGGGCACCTGTAATTCCAGCTACTCGGGAGGCTGAGGCAGGAGGATCGCTTGAGCCTAGGAGGTGGAGGCTGCAGTGAGCTGAGATCTGTCTCACTCTGTTGCCCAGGCTGGAGTGCAGTGGCGCGATCTCGACTCACTGCAACCTCCGCCTCTCAGGCTTAAGTGATTCTCATGCCTCAGCCTCCGAGTACCTGGGACTACAGGCACCTGCCACCACGCCCAGCTATTTTTTGTATTTTTAGTAGACATAGGGTTTCACTATGTTGCCCAGCTGGTCTCGAACTCCTGAGCTCAAGTGATCTGCCCACCTCGGCCTCCCAAAGTGTTGGGATTAAAGGCATGAGTCACCGTGCCTGGTCCCATGTTATAATTTTAAAGTAAGGTATATTTCTCTACAGGGATCTTTGCAACCCTAAGTAACTGGCCTAAAAAGTTAGAGAAGCTGACTTGTGCAGACATTTGCAGCCTGTTGGTCTTTTTTGTGCTGTGAATCATAGAGGGTGAAAGGTTATTATGAATGGTACAAAACTTTGTTACAAAACCATTTTCTTGGACTGTTTTGGGCTGCTTCACTGCATGACAAATGCTCACCCTTTCAGCTGGAATGATTGAAATTTTGGAAAAGATGGGTGTTTTTAGAAGACATTGTAATTTGTTCCGGTGCTGTGCCCATTCATTCCATTTCACTTCTGTTTACTCATTAAACACCTATTGTGTACACAACCCGGTAAAATCCCTCCACTCACACAATGCCTGAATTATACTCATAGTAGAATGACTGTTTAGCCCTCATCATCTGATAATTAACAGCTCAGGTTTCAACCTGACAGTATCTCTCTGGGAGGATTAGCAGCGTGACAGAGTGCAGGGAAATGCACCTTCAGAACCGTCAGCTACACTGTGTCCCATCCTGCTGTGTTGTGGTTGTGCCTTGTGGATGCGTTGGTTTATGACCAGGTATTGATTAAGGTGGCTACTACCAGGTGCTTTCTGCATATCTCGGGTTTGTGGAGCACTCAGGTTCTGCTTCTGCCCCTCTGCTGTTACCAAGAGACCTCTCTTCAAAATGGGGCTCTTGAGTTAGAGTAGAATGAGTGATCAGGATTGTTTTGTGTAAAGATGATTTCTGAGGAAGGCTTTAGGATGAAATGACTTCCAAACATTTTGAAATGTGACTCTTACTTATTGAATTAAGCAGGGCCTTAATTGGAATGCTGGGACTGATACTTGATTTGCATTAAGCAGCCTTTTTCTATTGCTGCTTGGTTGAAATTTCAACATTTGTGATGGTAGATGGATGTGACATGTGATGACATTGCACATGGGCAGTTAACTGTGCCAAGAAGTGCAGCAGTAGCAGCAACCGGAGATGCAAAGCCCAACATGATGGGGAGAGAAACTCTTCTTTCAATATGTGCTTCTGTACCAAAAGTGGAATTTCACGAGAGACATATTTTGAAACATTTCTCCTTTTGTGTGTGCGTGAGTGTTTCCCTGTTTCCAGCCAAGGGTATTGTGAGTTTCTCCTGGGCCTCCTTCAGAATCTGGGTGCTCTGGAAAGCAGTGTTTTGGCAACATGGGGAAAGTATGGCAGTGTGGGAGGGTCAGCTGGGTCTGGGTTTGAATATTGCATTTGAATATTTTACCAGCATTGATGTCGGATAAATTATTTAGTCCCTGTAAGCCTCAGTTTTCTCTTCTTCTACATACACATAATATATTTGACTCTTTGTTGTGATTATTGGTTACACATATGAAGAGCCTGGTGTGGGGCCTGGCACACAATAGGTGCTCAATAAATAGAAGTTGATAATTTAATTGACATGAGTAGTAGAAATTATGTCCTTGAAAACAATTGCGTCAAGATAGAAGTTTTCAGCCAGGCACAGTGGCTCACATCTGTTGTAATCCCAGCATATTGTGGGGGCCGAGGCGGATGAATCACTTGAGGCCAGGAGTTCAAGACCAGCCTGGCCAACGTGGTGAAATCCCCTCTCTACTAAAAATACACATATTTGCCAGGCAGGCGTGGTGGCGCACACCTGTAATCCCAGCTACTGAAGAGGCTGAGGCACAAGAATCGCTTGAACCCAGGAGGTGGAAGTTGCAGTGAGCTGAGATCACTCCACTGCATTCCAGCCAGCGTGACAGAGTGAGACTCTGTCTCAGAAAAAGAAAAAAAAGATAGAAGTTTTCTTCTGTAGATCAGTGTTAGAACTCATACCAAGCGAAGTGGTCCTGGTGAGTATTTCAGTGAAAAACTGCATTCTTGCTCAGATATTGTCAAGACTTTTCACCCAAAGATTCTTATTTATGTCTCAGTCCGTACCTTGTGTGAAAATTAATACTGGATGTCAGAACGCTGTTGTGTTTTTAAAGTTCCCTGGGGTTAAGAGCAGTTTCCATTAGGTGTTCTCTGCTTTTTACTTAAAAATCTTACTCATGCATTGAGCAATATTTATTCAGTTCTTATTATGTGTCAGGTATTTTCTAGGAGCTGGACTCAACTCAAAAGATATCCTTTTGATGAGAACAAAGGTGGGTGGATATATGAAATATTATCTGTGGGATAAATGCACTTAGTCATGAGGGAGACTTGTTATGGAGTGCGCTCATTGTATTTGTACTGTTGAGTTAACAACTTCTAGGAGGAGCTCAGGGCCACCTGGCAGGGGCTTCTTTTGTCTTGCTGCTCAGCAAGGTGTATTTTGCTGTAGAGTGTGCTGGGCAGGTGAACTTTTCTTAACTTTCTCTTGGGTCCTTCCTAAAGCAGCATGTACCTTTCCCAGAGCGAGGAGAGGGCCACCTTCCTGTCTCACAGAAACCTCCAATCTGTTTTGGACTGCAGGAAGGAGCCATAGTAGTGGACCAGCAAATTTTGGCCCGAGAGATTGATTTGCTTCCGATTGTACTTTTTTTTTTTATTGCTACTATAACAAGTCACCAAATACTTAGCAGTTTATAACCACATACATTTATTATTTCATAAGGCCAGAAGCCAGGATACAGTAGAGCTCACCTAGGTCTACTTCTTAGAGGCTCACAGGGCTGATATCAAGGTGTTTGTGGGGCTGTGTTTTTTTGGGGGGGCTCTGAAGATGAATCTGCTTTGGAGCTCATCCAGGATATCAGATGAATTCAGTCCCGTGCAGTTGTAGGACTGAAGTCCATTTCCTTGCTGGCTGTCAGCAGGGGCTGGTTTTTGCTCCTAAAGGTTGCCATCATTCCTTCTTATGCTTTTCATGTGACTCCTCTCCCACAAGTGGGTTGAGTATCTCTCACACTTTAAACCTCTGACGCCTCCTGTCACATCTGTCTCCAGTCAGAGAAAGTTCTTTACTTTTAAGGGCTCAGGTGTTTAGTTTGGGCCCATTCACATAATCCAGGATAATCTCCTTATTTTGAGGTTCATAACTTTAATTACATCTACACAGTGCATTTGCTATGAAATGTGCATATTCACAGACTCCAGGAATAGGGTGTGGACATCTTTGCAGGGGATATTCAGTCTGCTGTAGCTTTCTTGATTGGAAGGAATAGTTTATCATATATTTGAAGTGTTCCCTCAGTGCCTTTGGCTTTTGTTGACCCCTCTGCAGCTCTCTGCTTTTTCTTGCCCATATTTGGAAAGTGACTCTAAAGCATAATAAGCATCACCTATTAGGGTTTTTAATGTACAAACCAAACAGAGGTGACTTTGGGAGGAGAACATCTCTGAACTAGGTATGAGACATTCATCGAAAAAAATCCATCAAGTGTTTATTGTATGTCTGCTTTATACCAGCACTGTTCTAGGCACTGAAGTTCGACCACCAACAAGGCAGTTGTGATGCACTTGGAGCTTTCATTCTGATGGGCATTGAGATCCAGGCTGAAGGCTGAGTCTGGGAATTTGAGGAATTCTTTGTAGGTCCTGGGTCTACAGAGTGAGAGCTGTCCTCGTTCCAGTTTCACTGATGACCTCTCGACCAGCTCCCTCACAGCAGTCTTTGCCAACACAGACACTGTGGGCTGTAGTGGGAGGAATGTGGGGTTGAATGAGCTAGGTTTGGGCTCTGTCCTTGACTCACCATTGCCTCAGTGATGTGAAAATGGTGTCTGATCCTTAAGGTTGGAAGTCCAGGCATGCAGATTTATCTCCATCTCAATAACGTGGGGAAAAAAAAGAAGTGGTTTTTGTGGAACCAGTGGTTCCACTGTCCACGTGTCTTCCAGTGTGCCTAGCACATTCCCACCAAGTGGATCTTGGTTCATGAGGGAAAGAAGGGAAAGTGAGGGTGCCCCGAGGCTCCCAGAAGACAAGTAATGTCACAGCTGAGCTGTGTACAGATCGAAGAAGCAGATGGATAAGGAGTGAACAAAGTCATCCTTGTCTTGAGGGGTCTTTATTTAGCTTCTTCTTGACTCTTAGACAAGGACCCAGAATACAGATGGGGCTTGTTGTTACCTTCAGCCTCATGGCTTTTTAGGGCTAGATACTTCAGCTTGTTACATGCAGTCCTTAAAGCGTCTGTGTGGGTTTTTGCAGGAGAGAACACTTGCTCGTGTTCTCCTGTCTGGAACCCGGACATTGTTGGAAAGTATCAGATTTTGTTTGGCTTTGTGTGATTTGACTGCCCACCTGTTTACTTGCTTTCTCCCAGCAAGCAGCCGCAATCCCCATGGGTTGGTAATGGGTGGAATGACACACTGTGTAGATTTACTCTTCAGACTCTATGTTCACCTCATTCTTATGGGAAAAGAAGAGCACTAGCTGGTAGATATAGCAGTGTGTTAATATGACTGCTCAACTCCATTTACACAGACATTTTCACCTTAGTTATACTATTTCTTCATTAAATATTGTTGCCAGATCTAAGATACAGGTTTAATTTTTTCCTCTGAATTATGTGGTAGTAGATGTATTTAACTATGTTTAGAAACAGCAAAAAATGAAGCGTTTGAATGCGTTAAACACATCTAATTTGAAAGTTAATATTTAGGTTGTTGATTTATTTTTTAAAAGATTAGAATATTCCTTAGAAATGTAGTCTTATAATTTCGTATTTCAATAAAAAATATTAAAATGTTTCCCAGAGGAAATCTTTACTGTCATAGAAATCACCAGAAAGAGATAGCAATTACTCCTGGGTGGTGATAGTCTTTGATTTGTGGTTTACTTGTTTTCAGTTTGAACTAAAACATACTAATCCCAGCCTGAGTTGGATTTTGCATATGGTCAAAGTGAAGTAGAGATTTTTGTCTACTTTATGAAGATATTTAAAGGACATTTGAAATGTTTCAATGAACACATTGTAACATGCATTCCCAGGAGGAAAACAAAATTGTGTATTGTGTTGAAAATACTATTCCAATATATGTATACCCACGTCTCATTTTGTCATAGAATTCCTGAAAAATTTAGATGTAGATGAGATTTTTATAAGTTGAAAATATTTTCAGTTGCATTTTAATTGCACAGATGTGTTTTCTACTTCTATTTGGCTGTGACTCCTAATGCATTGTAATATTATCTTCCAGTGTTCATTTCGTGTAGTGATAATGGATTAACAAATGCATTCATTCATTTAGTAAACATTTACTGAGCCCTAATCAGTGCCATGCTCTGGCCCAGGGAGGTAGTCATGTGCAAGGTCCAGCCCTCTCTGTTTCATTCCTGGTTGGGGAATGGGTGGGACAGACCAGGAAAGGAGCAGCTGCCGTATAGAGCAGGAGACGCTCTGCTGGGTGTGATACAGTCCCTGATGGGGCCTCCTACTGCAGTCTTTCCAGTCAGGAAGGAAACATCCTCTAAGTGGGGACCTAAAGAATGGATGTCAGCCAGGTAAAGAACAGGGAGTAGAATGTTCCAGGTAGAGGACATAGTATATGCATTGGTCCAGAGAGGAGAGGGAAGAGAAGGTGGCATTTAGGGGAACTGTACCTGATTGAGATAGTTCAGCATGGAGCAGATATAGCTGTGGGGAGTTTGATGGGAGAAGGAACGATGAGACGTGATGCCTGCAGAGGTGGGCAAAGGTCGGCTGAGGCAGGTCTTTCTTCACGAGCCATGTGAGGATATAGGGCCTTATCCTCAGAGTAAAGGGAGCCATTAAAGGCTCCACAGGCTGAGTGACTTGATGAGGTGAATACGAAACAGAGCATTTCTGTGAATGTGAATGGCCTTTGGAGCAGAACTAAGTTCATGAGGATGGAAAGAATATAATGAAGCCATCTCTTAGACCCAGAAAGAATGGGGCACAACAGCCTTTATCTTTCTGGGGCCAATGTCACAGAATGCCATGCTTTTAGGAAACATGGTATGTTGTGATTAACACATTTTGCAGAAGTGGGTGGGAGCTTTTGAATAATAACAGTAAGCATTTGTGCATTCTTCCTGTAATGACATTACAGTTATGATCTGAAAATATTGAGTCATACATGAATTCCTGTTATCTTAACTCAGAAAATATAGTCCCTCACTAAAGGTTTTATTTTCCTTCTTTTTCCCATTTCCTTTACTTCGTATAAGAAAGTCACTTGTCTCCTGGGTGCAATGGAGACCTATGTGAGTTCATAGCCAAGAGAATGTTTTTGGTTAGAAAAATAATAGTAGGAATTCCAAGCTGTGAATTTTTTACTGAAGCTCTTTGGAAATAGGATTTGGCAAGTTTTGTCTGCCTTCGTCAAGTAAGCATGAGCAGGAGAGCACAGTTAATAGCAGGTGCAGACACATGATTCTCAGACCGTATTTTGTGTTCTAGTTTCAAGGCATGAATTCTTTCCTGGGGTTAATTTTATTCAAGGAAGTTATCTGTCTGTTAGATCTGATATGTGCTCAGGCCAACATAGATTCTTTACCCTTCCTTTCTTCCTGCTCACCTGTCCTTCCTCTTTTATCTTTTCATTGAATTAAAAAGAAAATTATGAAATAGTTTCAACATGAAAAAAGGTACAGAGAATAACATAAAGAACACTCCTGGCTGGGTGTGGTGGCTCACGCCTGCAATCCCAGCACTTTGGGAGTCTGAGGCAGCCAGATCACTGGAGGTCAGGAGTTGGAGACCAGCTTGGCCAACATGGTGAAACACTGCCTCTACTGAAAATACAAGAATTAGCCAGGCATGGTGGCGTGCACTTGTAATCCCAGCTACGTGAGAGACTGAGGCAGGAGAATTGCTTGAACCCAGGAGGGGGAGGTTGCAGTGAGCTGAGATCACACCACTGCACTCTAGCCTGGGTGACAGAGTGAGACTCCGTCTTCAAACAAACAAACAAACAAAAAGAACACTCCTGTACCATCATCCATCATTTTGCCGTGCTGACTCCAGGTTCTATTTAAGAAATAAAACATTACAGGTACAGCTGATGCCACCTCTGTTTCCCTAGCTCATTCTTCAGAGATAACTCTTGTCTTGCAGTTGGATGTTTTAATCCTCTATATCATGTATACTTACATTCTATGTATAACAATATTTGGTACTGGCCTAAATGTGTTCACATTGTATAAGTGTGCATATTGGCCTGCCACTTCATTTGGAATTATGTTCTTGAGATTTATCAATGTTGATACATGTGGAATCTGGTTAATTTTTGCCATAGTATTCTATTTTTATACTAAACTTTTAAAAATCCATGCTTCTAGTCTTTGGCTTATTTTTTCAGGTTATGGTATGTTTTGGATGCACAGAAAAGTAAAATTAAGTCATGAGCAAAATATCTGGATAATCCAAGCTTTAAACTTGATGTAGAATTTGAATCATGTGTGTTTTGTTAACCCTGTGATGTCAATCCATGCCTGATTGTGTAACTCCAACCAATATTCCTTTGAAAATGGAAATTTGTTTATATTGACTACAGATTGCCAATATTATTAGTAAATGCTGAGCACTTAATCTCGAATAAAGAACTAGTTTAAAAATGATTCTAACAATGGCATTGACTGTTCTACCTTATTACTCATGGGTGGGTTCAGCCAATGTTTCTGTTGGAGACCAAAACCAAAAACAGTCAAATTAAACAAGCAGTCAAACCCAACATACAGACTACTGATAAGAAGGTCATATCATAAGATATGGCATTGAATTTGTGTCTGCTAATGTAAAAATCTGATGCCCACAGCAAACTTAATAAGGACCTATGTTTACATCCATGCTCAATTACATTCCTGGGTTAAACAGTCATGCTTTAGGCCCTGCTGTGTGCCTGGAGTTTTGCTGAAGTGTGGGGCTTTTAAGAGAAGGAGAATAAGCTTGCTCCAGAGTTAAGAAATTTAAACTAAAAGTCCTAAAGATGTTGGAAAAACTATTGCCCTTGAAGATGTAAATTCATTAAGTTGGAGAAGACCTTTTATACAAACAACAGACCCATTCACTGATTTGTACCCTTCAGGAGACAGATGACCGGTAATGGTGACAATGGGTGAATGTTGGGTTTGGGGTTTTTAGAAACATCTGCACTTGGTGACTACTGTATCTAATTGGTGTGACAAACCTGGCACCCCATGTGTTTGGCACCATCTTGGGTCCTACTCAGGGCCAGGTGAACCGAGTGGCCTCTTCACTGCTTCAGAGTCTGAAGCAGATTGTAGTATGCGGACCAGACACAGAATATACCACCAAGCACGTTGGCGCAAAGCATACTGGGAAGGGAGGCTTTGTGAACATGGTGCTGGTTCTCAAACCTCAGTGCTCAAAAGAGTCTCCTGAGGATTCCTGGATCACACTCTTAAACTTCTCATTCAGTAGGTGTTAGCTGGTTGAGAATCTGCATTTTTTTTTTTTTTTCTGAGACCGAGTCTCACTCTGATGCCCAGGCTGGAGTGTATTGGCGCCATCTTGGCTCACTGCAACCTCTGCCTCCCAGGTTCAAGCAATTTTCCTGCCTCAGCCTCTCTAGTAGCTGGGATTACAAGCACATGCCACCATGCCTGGCTAATTTTTGTACTTTTAGTAGAGAGGGGGTTTCGCCGTGTTGGCCAGGCTCGTCTTGAACTCCTGACCTCAGGTGATCCACCCACTTTGGCTTCCCAAAGTGTTGAGATTACAGGTGTGAGCCACCATGCCCAGCCTGAATCTGCATATTTAACAAGCACCACAGGTGATTCTGATACAGTAGCTCCCCAAACCTCACAGTGTTAGTGAATCCCAGTCATTTACAATTCTGCCATGATTTTGGTCATATTCAAGTGCAGCTGGTAGCATTTTTAGTTAATATATTTTTTAAATTAAGTCACTTCTTTTGGATAATTAAATTTAATTACAAGGGAAGCTATACCACTGCTGTAAAAACATCACCTGCTTTAAAGAGAAGGTACATAATGAATATACATTAAGATAAAGATGTATATGTGTGTGTGTGTGCACATATAAGTATACACATACCTACCATAGGGATTGAGTTTTCCTTCAGGTTTTTCAACTGAAATGTCAACTTTGAGGCCAGTTAATATGTGTAAGATATATGTGTGTATGTATGTCTATACATATAGACATATACGTAAAAACATACATGGATGCATATAGTATATCTATACACAACCTATTATGCATATCATGTATATTTCATCCACTTAGTATTATCTTTTATTTTGCCGTTTGGCAAATGCTCAGTAAAAGAAAAGGGTTAGAAGGGGAGAAAGGCATTTTATCCCAAGCCTTCAGGAATCAGGATGAGGATGTCTTCACCTTGTGGTGGGGAGTAATTATACAATTAGAGACAGCACATTGGAGTGTGGCTGATATGCTGTGTGATGATAGCTCTAGCTCTCTGCCTAGCAGAGGAAGGACATTTCAATAGAAGAAAAAGTTTAAGACCTTGCCGAGAAACAGAGAAAGGATGTTTGTCTTTTTAAGAAGTTGAAAACCCTGTTTGCAGACAAAAGCCCTCCAGTTTTGGCAGTAAACTTTCATGCAAGGGAAGAAAAAGGCAGGGGATGACATTGTTGACAATTGTGAGGAATTACCATGTGCCAGGCACTGTGCGAGGGGCTTTGTACATATCCTCTAGTTTTAGTGCTTATAAAAACTCTGTGATATGTGCACAGCATTTTAAACTTTGCTGCATAGTCGAGAAAATGGAAGGATGGGGAATTTGAGTCATTTGCCCAGGGTTCTATAGCTACCCCAGGTTCCCATGACTGGAGAATTGGGGCACAGGGTGGCGGGGGAGAGTGAGTGACAAGAATCCTAACAATCTTATTTCCATTGAGTCCTTATAAAAGAAGTGGATTAACTACCACGTTTTTAAGTTTTTCTTAAATTTAGGTTATGTGGATCTGGCGTTTCTTGTTTTGTCCTGGGTTTGTTTTGTTTTTGCTATGCTGTCTTGAACATCTGTCATCTTGTAGGCCTAACGGTAAACACAAAAACACTTTACCTCCTATAGCTTTCAATTAAGATCTCTCAGTTTGTGTTTGTAATAGTTTTCCAGGCAAGTTCTCCCTAGGTTCGGCTTCTAGTGTGTTAACCTTTAGTTATAAAGTGAACCCAAAGAGAGAAAGTAGAAACAAAACACCTCACCTGTTTTTGCTCATGAATTACTCTCTATGGAAGGAACAATCATGAACACCTCTGCGTATCACAGAGGCCTATCTGAGTCTGACGTTTAAGGGAGACCGCGTAGGTCCCTTTGAGGACTGTGAATGTGGGAGTCCTGGGACTCTGGTGAAGAACCCGTTCCAGAAGAGATGAATGAGCTGGACAAGTTCTTTCATAGAACCTTTAGGCAGGTTTTCTTAGAAATGCACATTGAGGATTATGCTTGGATATTGTGATGATCAGAATGATACTCAATCCCTTCTGCATTTGGAATTCTCTTTGAAAGAAAACATCCCAGGCAGCTATTTCTCAGAGATAGTGAGTCCCAGCCACTTCTAGACATTTTCTTGTGTAGTCTACATTATAATTTCACAGCAGTCTCTGATATGACAAATGTCAAAATAGCCCAACCTTCTCTAAACTTCAGAGATGTCTGATATGATATTGAATAAAACAATGCTCATAGAAACATCAAGAAAGGTGGATTTTCCCTGGATACTTTTTTCCTGCTTGACAAATAACAGTGAAGAAACTGATCTCACGTCTTTTTCTCTTTGGAAGCCTGAACACTCAGAACCCAACTTGAGGCTCCTCAGCTATAGCAATTCTGACTTCACAGTCTGTAAATTATTGTTCTTTTTTTTCTTTAGCTTATGCTTTCTGCCCTAATTTATCTTTTCCCTGTTCTAATGAATTATTGTCCTATATCTGCTGTGCAGTTAGGTGACATATAACAGCAATTAAATATATGAATTGGTACATATAAAGATTTGACTAAAACTCGATGTAAAAATAAGTGTTCTACATTCAATTTCCAGTGTTAGAAACAGTGCTGACTTGAACAGAGTGACAGAATTCCATCTTTCCCTATTTTTGACAGCTTTAAACTTTATATTTTCTTCCTTTCTTGTGAGCCGTCATTAACTTGTTTCTCAAAGCCATTCCCGTATTACCCATCTTGCAGACGCAGACAGATTTGGGAATTTGCGGTCAGAGTTGTATTGGACACATCCCCCCAGCCCACATGAGATCCTTTTAATCTATTGCATATTAACTAGTTTTAAGTACAATATTCCTACTTCATTTAAAACCATTAATCAAAGAATGAGTTTGAAAATGAACAAAATGCAAACTTACAGTTAGAAATAATTGTAGTGTCTTTAGTTTTGGTTAGGAGTCGGTTTCTTGTTTGTTAAACTCAAGATTGTGAACAGTTTTAATTCACTTGTTTATTTCCAATAGAGATTTCAGGTTTACATTTGAATTCAGAAACAAAGTTTTCTTTCTCATTACAGAGAACACTAAACTCTACATCTCCCTTCCCGAGCAAGGAGCTGGCTGAAGCCACAAAAACATTGCTGCATAGTCTTGGGACTCTGGCCCAGGAGGTAAGTTGTGTCTTTCCAGTACCAGGAAGCGGATCATCCACTGTATCAGTATTTTCATTCCTGAGTCTGGCAAGAGGTCCTTTTGAGTTGAATATCACATGGGATGTAATATCAATTTTCAAAGTATAAGTGATGTAAACAATAATGTTTTGATTTCCTTATTTTAGAAATGAAGAAACCTAAAACTCATAGATGTCTCAGAGCTAATTGGTTAGTGGCTAACAGCTGGATATCTAGTTTAGAACCTTCTCCATTTTTTCTTTTTGCCCCTAGGTAATCATACATTTGTAAAGAGGAGAATTATCTCTGCCACTGCCCATGCACTGCTTTTGTCTGACCAGCAATTTCTCCATATTGCTTCTTCAGTAGCAAGGCCAATCATTTTACCAACACACATGCTTGCTAACTAACAGGAATAACGTGGTACCCCTAATTCAGCCCTTTCCCTTGAAAGCATCTGGCTTCTGAGGTTCAACTATGGGAATATGGTCTCTTAATGAACATTAAGTTGAGTTTGCCTTTTAGGTCCACATGTTGACAAATGTATCAGAGTAATCTCTGTCCTAGGATCAGAGGGCCTGTAGGCACTTGCAAAAGCAGTTAGCTCTGACTCCCAGCCAGTGCACACTCCACCTTTCTGACTCCCAGCCTTGTCTCAAATTAGGCTTGGAAGCGAGGAACTGTCTGGTGTCCCCCAGCATAGGAAGCTGAGCCAGGGGGCAGTGCTCACAAACAATACAGACTTTAACGTGTAGGATATTGGAAAATAATAATTTGTGGGGAAATTGTCTCAGACTTGGTCCACCCTTATTTTTAGCTGCTTCTCTAATCCGTTTTTCTTTTTTTGGTGCTTGTATCTAACCTACCCATTTTTTGGTGCTTGCATCATTTTTTCAAATATCAAAAACGAACTTTATGTTTTCTAACAATGAAAGTATTGCATGTTCATTGTGGAAAATGCTGAAGACTTGGAAAATACAAAAATGCTGAGATCAAACACTATTGATACGTTAGTGTATTTCTTCCTGTCCTGTTCTACTTTCTTTCTTTGAATTCTGCTCACGTGTTTCTGACTGATGAGGTCTGACTTTTGGGTTCCTTTTCCAGAGGAGAAGCCTTCTTTCAGCTTGCCATTTGTTACCCTGGTTATGAAGGCTGGTAACCTTTTTTACTAGGTAGAGAAGCTGGACCAACTGGGGTTCTTCCAGGGGGAGAATGAGAAAGAGAAACTGTTTTGCAAGTCCGTAGCTATTTCTCTAGGGCCCTGTTAGCTGACATTGACATGCCTTGCATTGCTCTGCAGATCCCCTCGCAGCCCTCTGTCCCTTGTTCATTTCTGGCCTTAGAGAAAGCAAAGCAGGGTCTGTAACAGGGGAGGCTGCCTCTAAACTCAGGGTTTGGTTACAGCTGTTTTCACTTACATCACTGGCCCTGGTTTTTTTTTTTTTTCTGGCATTAAAAAAAAAAATTGGAAGCAGGTGATGTTCCCATTGCTGATGTGGTGGAAACTCTCCAAGTGAACAATATACGTTTTTCTTGGCAGCTGTTTCTTGTGCCCTGCTTGCTCCTGGTCCAGGACAAGCAAGGACCATCTGCCTCTTTCAATAGAACACCTCCAGATCCCTTTGATCAAAAGTTACTCATTGTCTGACTTGCTATTTCTGTGAGATAAATGGGAGAAGATCAATAAATGCACTTGTTTGTCCAGTCAGCGTGTGGAAAGTTGATAATTTTGACCAAAGCACAACCCTTGAAAGGAAAAGAAAAAGGGAGTGAATGTCTTCTGAGAAGCTGCCTAGGTTCAGACAGTGTCACCCATTTCCCTGTATGCTCCACATGACAAACCTGAGTGGGTCTCATCATGTCCATTTTGCAGATGGCACCAAGGCTCAGAAAGGTTAGGCAACTTTTCCAGTCACCCAATGAGTTAATTGACAAAACTGGGATTCAAACCCAGAACTGTTGGATTCCAAAGCCTGTGTTGTTGCCTGCTTCGTGAAAAACTCCAGTAGCGACTGGAATAGAAAGGAGAACCTTCCAAGAAAGAAAATACGCACTAGCAGAACCTGGAAATTGGGAGGAAATGAGGACTTGAGGAATAAGATGAATGAAAGCTGACCTGAGTTTCACATCTGGGTGATGGGAAGGGAGGACAGGGAGGCAGCATCTCAGATGTCCACCCAGCACCGACCAGCTGCCTGGCATTGCTAGGTGTTGAGGACTCAGCAGTGAACACGCTAACTTCTCTGCTTTCTTGGGGCACGTATAGGGTGAGAGACAGAAACAAACAGGTCAGTGTACAATGCCACAGGAGGGATATATGCAGTGAAGAAAAAGCAGGGTAAGGGGCATAGAGCATGAGAAGGTGCTTTTTTTAAAGGGGGTGATTAGGAAAGCTCTCTCTAAGGTGACAGTTGGACCTGAAGGAGATGATAGCATGTCTGTGGTGAGGGAAGGAAACTCCGAACAGGAAGAATGGCAGATACAAAGACATTGATGCTAGAGCATGCCTAAGGAATGTGTTTAAGGACCAGGGAAAGTGAGCAAGTGGTGGGGGGAGGAGAGGAGCTCAGAGCAGGAGGAGGTGAGTGCCATACAGGCCTGGCAAGACTTTGGATTCCTGCTGGGTGAGATGAGAATCCAGCGGAGGGCTTGAGGGAGGGGACATGATGTGATCTAGAGTTTAGACTGTTTACACTCTGGTTGTTGGGTTGAGAAGAGACTGGGATGGGGGAAAGGGAGGACAAAGGACATTGTGCTGGATTGAGAAAGCAGTAAGTCAGTTTCATTCATTCACTCAACCGATGATGTTCAAATACCACCATCATCCGTGGGCTAAAGGATGAAGAGCCATCCCTCCCTGAGAGTCAGGAAGCACTTCCCAGATAAAGTTTGGAGTGTGAGCTGAGGTGTAGGAGAAAGAGTAAGAGTTTACCCCTGAAACGGGTGCTGGGAAGAGTCAATAGTTTGGAATAACTCAATAATTTATGGTGCTTCTTTAGAAAGATTTGCTGGCTTTATGTGGGAAGAAATTTTTTTTTTTGATTGGGGAGTGGTGGGTTGGTGGTGAGGCTGCCTGTGGAAAGAGAAGTGAGTGTTTTGACTCACTGTTATTTAAAAATCTCTAGGGCTGTTCCAATAAGCAACAAAAGGCAAAATGGCCTGGTTCTCTGTCCCCTTTCTGTCTGTATGCCTCGTACAGGTTATGAAAAGAAAAAGTTGGGAAAAGCTGTCCACCTCACCTAATTGTGTTCTTGTGGAGTGTGCTAGATGCCCCCTCTCTGGAGAAAAAAAATCCTTGTGGCCTCTGACCCACCTCTGGAGAGCCTAGTTCCCTTCTGGAGGCAGAAGGCAAAGCTTAGGACCTAGAGAGTGCTGGACCACGCCACTCACAGGAACCAGCAGGCTGTGAGGTTGAAAGCTAGGCATATGGAGCTTTCCAGGCTGGGTGCAGGGCCTCGTGGCCCTTCCCCTCCCCTCTGTGCTCTATAGCTCAGTCTTCCCAGGCGGTGTGAACACGCAGTGACATTTCCAGGAATACAGGGATTTATTAATGATTTCTTGTGAAATGTTTGGAAATACAAAGTACTCTATAAATATTTCATAATAGCATTGGGGCTGAGAACTCCACAAAGTGCCGGAATACATTTGCATGTAAGACAGAACGCTGCCTGGGTCATTGATGCCTGTTGAGTGGCAGTCACAGACACTGCCTAGGGTTTCTGACTCACGCTGTTGGGACTGTTCTATGCAGGGCACCCTCTTGTGTGGCATAGGATTTGTGCCTCACCACACACTGTTGTAGCTTTGCTGTCTTGATGATGAGTAGAGGGCAGTGTCCAGGCCATGGTATAAGCATCTACTGCCCCCCAGGGTTACCAAAACCAAGCCAAGTTGTGTCTCAGCGAGCTCCGTGAAGCATGGAGAAGTTGAGTACTCAGAGACATGACGTGACTTTTCAAAGGCTGTAAGCTGACGAGGGACATAGCTAGGGTTCAGACTTGAGTTTTTCTTTTTCTTTTTCTTTTTCTTTTTTTTTTAAGACTGAGTCTTGCTTTTGTCGCCCAGGCTGGATTGCAGTGGTGCTTGGCTCACTGCAACCTCTGCCTCCCGGGTTCAAGCAATTCTCCTGCCTCAGCCTCCCCAGTAGCTGGGATTACAGGCACCTGCCACCATGCCTGGCCAACATTTTTGTATTTTTTTAGTAGAGATGGGGTTTCACCATGTTGGCCAGGCTGGTCTTGAACTCCTGACCTCAGGTGATCCACCCGCCTCGACCTCCCAAAGTACTGGGATTACAGGTGTGAGCCACTGCACCCGGCCCAGACTCGAGTTTTTCATCTTAATGCTTTTTCATTGCCTGACACTTTACTGAGACCAAGATAGGGAACTTCACATACAGTACCTTTTCTCCCAAGGCGGAAGAGGGCTGTTCAATTTCTACACTAGAGTTCGGGGAGTTTTAGAAATGAGTCAGTTATCGAGGATGAGAGCAGTTCCTGATAGGCTCAACCACAATGAGATGTAGCTGTTCAGAGAAAGCATTCTTTTATCTATAAACTGGAAGATAATCCCGGTGAAACGAAGCCCAGCCCCAGGGGCTTCACTAACTCCAGGCTGTGCTTCTCAAACTTTAGTGAGCATAGGAATCACCTGGGCATCTTGTGAAGCTGTAGATTTGAATTCTGCAGGTCGGCAGAGGGGTCTCAGAATCCGCATTTCCAACAATGTCTCCAGTAATGCTGATGCTGCTCGTCCCTGGACCACAGATTGGGTAGCCAGGTTCTGGCAAGCTCATCCCAAGGCTTTGAGATGACATCAGACAAAATATGTTCTGGGACATGGCTTTTGAGAGGTCAAGAAAATAAGATGTTTCTTTCTCTTCTCATCCCCAACCCTTGCACTGCCCTTTTCTCCCTTCCCCTACCCTCCTTTCTGTCCCCATCCCTGACGCCAGCTGTTCAGCATGAGAAGCTGGAGTGACATGCGACAGGAGGTGATGTTTCTGACCAATGTGAACAGCTCCAGCTCCTCCACCCAAATCTACCAGGCTGTGTCTCGTATTGTCTGCGGGCATCCCGAGGGAGGGGGGCTGAAGATCAAGTCTCTCAACTGGTATGAGGACAACAACTACAAAGCCCTCTTTGGAGGCAATGGCACTGAGGAAGATGCTGAAACCTTCTATGACAACTCTACAAGTGAGTGTCCATGCAGACCCCAGCCCTGTCCCCAACCCCATCCCTCCCTTAGTTCTGGCCTTGGCCTGTGTCATCTCCTCCCTCTGTAGCAGCGTTAGATGTCTACATGCCCATTTGCCCACCAGACTGAGCTCTTCCTAGAGGAGAGAGGCTTCTCTTGAATAGCTACCTGTCCCCAGTTCTCTGAATGCAGCCTGGCACATCTCAGGTGCACAGTAGTGTTTATCAATGGAATGAATGATTGACAGCCAACCTTCTGGTTTTCTGGGGGATGTGGAAGGGTGGCTTCCAGGGTGATCAAGAATGAGATAATGGCAGAAGGACAAATCCTGCAAGATCTCACTTATATATGGAATATATGTAAGGTAGAAAGTGTCAGTTTCACATGATGAATAAGTTCCTGGGATCTTGATGTACATCGTGATGACTATAGTTAGTAACACTGTATAGTATACTTGAAATTTGCTAAGAGAGTAGATCCGAAGTGTTCACACTACACAAAAAAGGCAACTATGAGGTGATGGATTTATTAACAGCTTGATTGTGGTGATCCTTTTACAAAGTATACATATATTAAAACATCACATTGTATACCTTAAATATATACAATTTTTATTTGTCAGTTGTAACTCAAAAAAGCTAGAAAAGCATTTTTAAAAAGGATGATGTACTGGTCTTAATATTACCATTGAGATAAGCTTTATAATAACATAAAAAGAAATAACAGTAATGATAATAGCAACAACAACAACAACAAAGAACTAACATTTAAGTAGAATTTCTTGTGCACTGTGCATTCTGTTTAAGTTATCTCATTTTACCCTCATGATAACCCTGCAGGGAAGATTCTTTAACCCCACATTTCATAGGCTCAGAGAGGTTAAGTGCCTTGGTTAGAGCCACATCAGAGTTAATCCACAAGAGCCAGGATTCAAGCCCAAATCTGCCTGGATCTGTGCTCTCTAAGATAACTGTTAGTGGTGGCGTGTGTGTTCTCACACTCAGACATTTGATCTGCCCTTTGTTTCCCATTCTTAGCTGCAAGGCAGTGTTAAAGAACCCTGTGTCTCCATATCCACTCCCCACACTTAAGCACTTTTGTGGGCCCGTGTGCCGTATGCCTCGTGGCAGCAGGGATCCAATGTCACAGTTTTAGGCAGTGGCATCCTTTTCCTTGAAAACTTGATGCAGGGGAACCTTTCTCCATTTCCAACCACAGGTGTGTCTTTCAGACACTGAGTGAGGCAGGTTTTGTACTTTATTGTAACACAAGAACCTTTTCTTCTCTGGAGTAAAGCACTCCAGACATTCGCAAGTTGCTTTACAAGCCTTAAAAGGATGGTATTGTAGGCAACTTTAATTAAATCCCATCTCCTCCTCTCCCCCAGCTTGCAAGTTGACCCAAGGAAGCCTTCATTTCCATGACAGACTTAATTGTGAGGGCATCCTCATTAAAAAAAAAAAAATTCTATTATCTTTCCAGCATATAGAAGATACTTGGTATCTAAAAATCCCTGAAAAACTTAGAATGAATTTTTAAAAATCAGGGATCCTGCTGGATAACCAAACCCATTTGTCTGTTACAACTTTTGTATTTGGGTTTTTGTTAAGTGTACATATACTAGTTTGTGTTAATTAAAGAGAATTTTTTTTTTTTTTTTTGAGAGGGAGTCTCGCTCCGTTGCCCAGGCTGGAGTGCAGTGGCGCCATCTCGGCTCACTGCAAGCTCCGCCTCCCGGGTTCACGCCATTCTCCTGCCTCAGCCTCCTGAGTAGCTGGAACTGCAGGTGCCCGCCACCATGCCCAGCTAATTTTTTTTTTTTTTGTATTTTGAGTAGAGACGGGGTTTCACTGTGTTAGCCAGGATGGTCTCGATCTCCTGACCTCGTGATCCGCCTGTCTCGGCCTCCCAAAGTGCTGGGATTACAGGCGTGAACCACTGCGCCCTGTTGAGAATTTTTTTTTTTTTTTTTGGGAGACAGAGTTTCGCTCTTGTTGCCCGGGCTAGAGTGCAGTGACACAATCTCGGCTCACTGCAACCTCTGCCTCCTGGGTTCAAGCGATTCTCCTGCCTCAGCCTCATGCGTCACCACGCCCAGCTAATTTTGTATTTTTAGTAGAGACAGGGTTTCTCCATGTTGGTCAGGCTGGTCTCGAACTCCCAACCTCAGGTGGTTCGCCCGCCTTGGCCTCCCAAAGTGCTGGGATTGCAGGCATGAGCCACTGCGCCCAGCCCCAAATTTTGGTTTTTGCTTGAAAACTGAGGTCTGAATTCAGCCTTCTGGTTGCCCCTCAAGAGTCAGTTTAAATGTTGGTCATGTTAGTTGTCAGTGAAAACAATGGTGAGGCTGGCATGAGAGTGTGAATCTGGATGGGAGGGCTTGTGCTTCATGAAAACATTTTTCCAGATCAGCTCAGTCGTGAGTTATCCGTCATTGACGTTATAATAAGCTCTGATTATTTATCAAGCATCATTCTTTATAGATATCTCAGTTTAATCTGAGATAATCTTCTCCACATCTCTCCACATAGATGTTATGAATTTTACTTTTACAGAGGAGCCAACTGAGGCTCAGATAAGTTACTTATTATATGACTAGTAGTGGTAGAGCTGGGGTTTCAACTAAGAACTCTCTGGCTCCAAAGCCCTTGTAAGTTTCTATCAGTATATGACCATGCATATGAGCATTTGTCTCTCCTCTTCTTCATAGCTCCTTACTGCAATGATTTGATGAAGAATTTGGAGTCTAGTCCTCTTTCCCGCATTATCTGGAAAGCTCTGAAGCCGCTGCTCGTTGGGAAGATCCTGTATACACCTGACACTCCAGCCACAAGGCAGGTCATGGCTGAGGTAAGCTGCCCCCAGCCCAAGACTCCCTCCCCAGAATCTCCCCAGAACTGGGGGCAAAAAACTCAAGGTAGCTTCAGAGGTGTGCGCTAAGTATACTCACGGCTCTTCTGGAATTCCCAGAGTGAAAACCTCAAGTCTGATGCAGACCAGAGCTGGGCCAGCTCCCCAGTCGTGGGTATAGAATCATAGTTACAAGCAGGCATTTCTTGGGGATGGGGAGGACTGGCACAGGGCTGCTGTGATGGGGTATCTTTTCAGGGAGGAGCCAAACGCTCATTGTCTGTGCTTCTCCTCCTTTTTCTGCGGTCCCTGGCTCCCCACCTGACTCCAGGTGAACAAGACCTTCCAGGAACTGGCTGTGTTCCATGATCTGGAAGGCATGTGGGAGGAACTCAGCCCCAAGATCTGGACCTTCATGGAGAACAGCCAAGAAATGGACCTTGTCCGGGTGAGTGTCCCTCCCATTATTACCATGTGCCTGCTTGATACTGGAGAGGTGAGTTTCTGGTCACTTTCCCAGGTGTGAGTGAGGTGAGAATTCTTTCAGTTTATCTAGCTGGGGGAATGTAGTGAGCATAGCTAAAGTCACAGGGCACCACCTCTCCAGAAGTACAGGCCATGGTGCAGAGATAACGCTGTGCATATCAGCATCCATGCCACTCACGGTCAAATAGCAGTTTTCTGCAAAACTTAGTGAGGGCTGGTGTTTGGAAGTGGAGTTGAGTAATTGCAGTACCCTATTTTCCTTTTTGGCTGCAGCCTCTCAGCCAGCCACAGCATCTCCCTGTGTCTTGGTAGGTTTTGGAAAGAAGTGTGGGAGCAAAAGCATGATGTTACATGTAGACTGGCCTGAGATACTCATTCTCAGGGCACTGTGTGAATGATGAGCTGCTGTTACTGTGTGGAGGGGAAATGCACTTAGTGCTTCAGAGCCACTTGAAAGGGATAAGTGCTCTAGAGACAATTGGGTTCAAATGTGGAGCAGGCTGAGCAAGAACAGAATGTCTCCTTTGCCTGAGCCTGAGTGCTGTTAATCACATCTTCCTGCCTTGGGCTGAGTTAGAGAATCATTAGACTATTTCCTGTTTCCATGGTGAGGGAGGCCTCTTCCTTTTGTCTCTGCTCCCCTTAAGAAGCAGGTGAGGATTTTGCCAGGTTTCTTGTTTTGAACCTTATTGACTTTAAGGGCGGCTGGGTTTTAGAGACTGTACCTACCTAGGGGGAACACTTCCGAAGTTTAGGACTATTCCCTGATCCGCTGGGAGGCAGGTTACTGAGGAAGTCCCTTTAAAAACAAAGGAGTTTATACTGAGAAAAGCATAAACAGTGATTTGTATGGATTCACACTGACTAATATAGCTCATGCCATTAAAGTGGGGTCTCTTCTCTAAAGGAGGGTTATATGATCTAGCCCCGTAGACCTAAGTGTGGTTTCAGACCTGTTCTTCCTGGTCCTCTCCTTGGAATCCATATTTCTACTAGTTGGACTTTTTCTGTTTGTCTGGCTCTCAGAGGATTATAGGAGGCCCTGTGAAGTGACTCAGTGAATTTTGATTTGTGGGCAAGTAGATGGTTCCCTAGTCTGAAATTGACTTTGCCTTAGGTGCTTCAATTCTTCATAAGCTCCCAGTTCTTAAAGGACAAGATCCTTGTAAACATGGCAATGGCATTCATTAGGAATCTAGCTGGGAAAATCCAGTGTGTATGCTTGGAAATGAGGGATCTGGGGCTGGAGAGAAAGGCATGGGCATGCCTTGGAGGGACTTGTGTGTCAAGCTGAGGACCTTTACTTTAAGCTCTAGGGGACCAGGCAAGGGGAGATGTAGATACGTTACTCTGATGGGGTGGATGAATTGAAGAAGGATGAGGCAAGAATGAAGGCAGAGACCAGGGAGGAGGCTCTCCAAGTGGCCAAGGCATAAAGCAAGAAATGAGGCCTGGTGACTGCTTAGTGGCAGAGCAGTGAAAGAGAGGGAGGCATCAAAGTGAGTCTCGATTTCTAGCTGGGTGGGTGGTAGCGATGTCCAGTAGGCCAGTGGCTACTGAGGTCTGCAGTGGAGGAGGGTGGTTGGGCTGGAGACAGATGATGAGGGAGTCATCAGCCTGTGGGTGGAAGAAAAGGGAACCTCTTCCAACTGTTTTCTTTGCTTCTTCCCTCTCTTTCTCTTTTTTTTTTTTTTTGGACAGAGTCTTGCTCTGTCACCCAGGCTGAAATGCAGTGGCATGATCTTGGCTCACCACAGCCTCCGCCTCCTGGGTTCAAGCAATTCTCCTGTCTCAGCCTCCAGAGTAGCTGGGATTACAGGCACATATCACTGTGCCCGGCTAATTTTTGTATTTTCAGTGGAGATGGGATTTCACCATGTTGGTCGGGCTGGAATGAACTCCTGACCTCAAGTGATCCACCTGCCTCAGCCTCCCAAAGTGTTGGGATTACAGGCATGAGCCACCGCGCCCGGCCTTTCTTCCCTCTCTTAAAGAGTGTTTATTTAATTCCACAAACATGAGCTTGTCACCCCCTGTAGCCTGGCATCTCCTACACGAGGTGATGGCTGAGGCTTCTGCTTCTGCTGGGGTAGCTCTGATCTTTCTGCTTTCTCTGGCACTGTCTACCCATGTTGCCTCACCCCACAGGTCCCAGGGCACCTCTCTCGGGCAAGTCTTGGAACCCTCTGACACTGATTTGCTCTCTTTTCTGAGCTGCTTTTAGCCACCCATCCTCGGGACCTGTTTTCTCTCTGCCTCCACCCCTGCGGGCAGTCTTAGGTCTCCTGCCCCTCACGAGCACCCCAGAGAGGCCACGTGCTCAGTGATCTCAGTGGGCGCATCTTTCTAGTCTTGCTATTCTTTTTGGCCATGTTGTTCAGAAACCATACTGGGCAGGGCCGACTTCACCCTAAAGGCTGCGTCTCTTCACTCTGCTTTTGTTTGTTCCAAATAAAGTGGCTTCAGAATTGCTAACCCTAGCCTCTGTGAACTTGTGAGGTACAATTTTGTGTCTGTTATGTTAACAAAAATACATACATACCTTCCTGGTGATGGTATAAATTGCTATTCTCTATTGGAAAGCAATTTGGAATGAAAATTTAAAGAACCATTTTAAAATATGCTATCCTGCGTACCTCCATTCCACCCACCCCCAGGGATGTAGCCTACTGAAATAATTTTAAAGAAGTCACCATATGAGAGAAAATGTTATTGCTATATTGTTATTGTGAGAAATTGGAAATAGACTAAATGTTCAGCACTATAGGAATAATTAATGAAATTACATATACTCTATACAATCATTATGCTGCCATTGAAATAATAAATACAAAGGCGCAAGGGGGGAAAAGCTTATAATGTTAGTGAAACTAAGACTGATTTTTTTATAAAGCAGCAGTTTTCAGACCCTTGGAGACTCCAATTCGGTAGAACCAGAGCTTCATCTTCTCTGTCGAAGCTGTGACAGGAGTTGCAAATGCCTCTCCTTTTTGCTGAGTTTGCAGCTGCTGTTTTTCCGGCAGCACATCTGTGCAGGCCTCTGCCTCGGCCCCTCTGGATCTGCTGATTGAGCAGCGGATTGATCTGTCCTTCTCTTTCGTGTTGACCCATGTGAGGAACCAACTGGCAAGGGAACAAGAAATGGAAATAGGCCTCCTTTGCATCATGACCTGTACATCCTGCAATTGGAAAAGATTGTACTTTAGTTGGTTTAACCAGCAGCATTATTTTTCTAAACTAAGCAGTAAGAAGGAATTAGGTTTTATGTGGGATCAACAGACTGGGTCTCAAAAGAGGAAGGTGATAGAACACAGTGGGGAGGGGGAGGTGCACTAGAAACAGAGGGCCTATGCTTTCATTCTGGCTTTGCTACTTAATAGCTGTGTGACCCAATCTTAGAGACTTAACCTCTCTGAACTTCCATTTTCTCATGTATAAAATGGGAAATATTAAAGGATACTCACTGGGCTGGTGGCTTGTGCCTGTAATCCCAGCACTTGGGGAGGTTGAGGTGGGAGGATCACTTGAGCCCAGGTGTTCAAGACCAGCCCAGGCAACATGGCAAGACTCTGTCTCTATGAAAAAATTAAAAATTAGCCAGGTGTGGTGGTGTGCACCTGTAGTCTTAGCTACTTGGTAGGCTGAGATGGGAGGATCACTTGGGCTTGGGAGGTCAAGGCTGCGGTGAGCTGTGATTCCATCACTGCACTCCAGCCCGGGCGGCAGAGCGAGACACTGAATCCAAACGACAACAACAACAAAAGGCAAAAAAATAAAAGTGCCCTCTTTATGGAGTTGTGTAAGGTGAAGCATATACACTATTCAACATAGTAACTATATAAAGGAAGTATTGTTGTTGTTACTGTAGTTAATACCATTAAGTGAGATGTTTCGTATAGTGGAAAGCACATGGACTCTGAATTCAGACTGGTCTGACTTTGAGTCTCAGCTCCACATCTAGTAATACTATGACCAAGCCCTGGTTAAAATCATGTTTTTTTTTCTTCAGCCTCAGTCTTCTCACATATAAAATAGGGACACTGTCATTTACCTCAGTTTTCTGTGAGGATAAAACAACGACAGTGTATATGCAAGTATTTTGTAAATTTTGTAGTGCTCCTCAAGATTTAGTTGGTGTTTACTACTTGTACTTTCTCACTGGAATGGCAGATGCTGTTGGACAGCAGGGACAATGACCACTTTTGGGAACAGCAGTTGGATGGCTTAGATTGGACAGCCCAAGACATCGTGGCGTTTTTGGCCAAGCACCCAGAGGATGTCCAGTCCAGTAATGGTTCTGTGTACACCTGGAGAGAAGCTTTCAACGAGACTAACCAGGCAATCCGGACCATATCTCGCTTCATGGAGGTGAATCTGTTGCTGGGATCATTTAGAAAAGACTTAACGGCTTCTTTCTCTGAGACGTTACAATAAGGTTCAGGCAGGAGGCAAGTTTAGAAATAATGTATAGTCTCATTTACAAAACTATCCCTCAAGCCTAACACAGGATTTGATAACAAAAGGCACTTAATAAATGTTAGTTGAGTGGTTGAATGAGTAAATAAACTCTAGCTTTAGTAAATTAACTCTAGCTTATTCTATATAGGCTCAAGAGAATATTTCTACCCATTTTCTTCTAGGTTTTCCTATCTCAGTGACTAATGGTAGCAAAGCATTCCCTTAAAAAGGCATTATTTGTGAAACTTATCTAAAATCGAATTCGGGTCCAATTAAATTTTTGAAATTTTATATTAAAAATTATATTAGTAGGGATGGGTAAGAGGTGTTTTGGTCTGGTTGGTTGGTTAGTTGCTATGACTCAGAATTGCTAAGAAAACAGAAAAGTAAGATAAGATCATTGTTTTAACCTCTTTTCCTCCACAAAATCAATAAATAACATATCCCTAAATTACTCTTAGAATTTCTCTTAAATTGCAGTGAAAAACCAAAATCCTTCATTCTTGGTTGAAGGTTGGAAAACTACGTTAGAGAGGATTAGAGAGAGAGGATGAGCAATCGTGTAGTCAGCCCTTGCCTCCTAGTGTAGGATTTGTCTCAGCCACTGCTTGTTGTCCTGGCTGCCAACGTTCTCATGAAGGCTGTTCTTCTATCAGTGTGTCAACCTGAACAAGCTAGAACCCATAGCAACAGAAGTCTGGCTCATCAACAAGTCCATGGAGCTGCTGGATGAGAGGAAGTTCTGGGCTGGTATTGTGTTCACTGGAATTACTCCAGGCAGCATTGAGCTGCCCCATCATGTCAAGTACAAGATCCGAATGGACATTGACAATGTGGAGAGGACAAATAAAATCAAGGATGGGTAAGTGGAATCCCATCACACCAGCCTGGTCTTGGGGAGGTCCAGAGCACCTATTATATTAGGACAAGAGGTACTTTATTTTAACTAAAAATTTGGTAGAAATTTCAACAACAACAAAAAAACTCAACTTGGTGTCATGATTTTGGTGAAATTGGTACATGACTTGCTGGAAGGTTTTTCATAGGTCATAAAATAACAGTATCTTTTGATTTAGCATTTCTACTCAAGGGAATTAATTCCAGGAATTTTGGTGGCAGGCACCTGTAATCCCAGCTACTCGGGAGGCTGAGGCAGGAGAATTGCTTGAACCCAGGAGGCAGAGGTTGCAGTGAGCTAAGATCGCATCATTGCACTCCCGCCTGGGCAATAAGAGTGAAACTCCATCTCAAAAAAAAAAAAAGATACAAAAATAGAAAAAGGGGCTTGGTAAGGGTAGTAGGGTTTTGGGCAATTTTTTTTTTTTTTTTTTTTTATTGTATGGTTCTAAAGGAATGGTTGATTACCTGTGGTTTGGTTTTAGGTACTGGGACCCTGGTCCTCGAGCTGACCCCTTTGAGGACATGCGGTACGTCTGGGGGGGCTTCGCCTACTTGCAGGATGTGGTGGAGCAGGCAATCATCAGGGTGCTGACGGGCACCGAGAAGAAAACTGGTGTCTATATGCAACAGATGCCCTATCCCTGTTACGTTGATGACATGTAAGTTACCTGCAAGCCACTGTTTTTAACCAGTTTATACTGTGCCAGATGGGGGTGTATATATGTGTGTGCATGTGCATGCATGTGTGAATGATCTGGAAATAAGATGCCAGATGTAAGTTGTCAACAGTTGCAGCCACATGACAGACATAGATATATGTGCACACACTAGTAAACCTCTTTCCTTCTCATCCATGGTTGCCACTTTTATCTTTTTATTTTTATTTTTTTTTTTGAGATGGAGTCTCGCTCTGACGCCCAGGCTGGAGTGCAGTGGCTCGATCTCGGCTCACTGCAACCTTTGCCTCCCGGGTTCAAGCTATTCTCCTGCCTCAGCCTCCACAGTAGCTGGGACTACAGGCTCATGCTGCCACGCCCGGCTGACTTTTTGTATTTTAGTAGAGACGAGGTTTCACCATGTTACCCAGGCTAGACTTCAACTCCTGAGCTCAGGCAATCCACCCTCCTTGGCCTCCCAAAGTGCTGGGATTACAGGTGTGAGCCACTGCACCCAGCCCACCACTTTAATTTTTTACACTCTACCCTTTTGGTCAAAATTTGCTCAATCTGCAAGCTTAAAATGTGTCATGACAAACACATGCAAGCACATACTCACACATAGATGCAGAAACAGCGTCTAAACTTATAAAAGCACAGTTTATGTAAATGTGTGCACTTCTTCTCCCTAGGTGGTAAACCACATTTCAAAACAACCCAAATAAAACTGAACAAAGCTTCTTCCTCTTAGACTTTTTAGAAAATCTTTCAGTGCTGAGTCACTAAGCTGCCAAGTTCTCATTGTGGGAACTATGCCTTTGGATGTAATGATTTCTTCTAAGACAATGGGCGGAGGTGTAGTTATTGCAGACATCTGAAATATGTAATGTTTCTTCCAGATTCTGGAAATTCTCTTATTCTCTGTGGTTGGTGGTGGTGGTGGGATGTGTGTGTGTGTGTGTGTGTGTGTGTGTGTGTGTGTGTAGGGATCAGGATGCGGGAGGAGCTGGGTTCTGCTTGTATTGGTTCTCTGTTTTGCATTGAATAGTGTGTTTCCTTGTATGGCTATCTATAGCTTTTCAAGGTCACCAGAAATTATCCTGTTTTTCACCTTCTAAACAATTAGCTGGAATTTTTCAAAGGAAGACTTTTACAAAGACCCCTAAGCTAAGGTTTACTCTAGAAAGGATGTCTTAAGACAGGGCACAGGAGTTCAGAGGCATTAAGAGCTGGTGCCTGTTGTCATGTAGTGAGTATGTGCCTACATGGTAAAGCTTTGACGTGAACCTCAAGTTCAGGGTCCAAAATCTGTGTGCCTTTTTACTTTGCACATCTGCATTTTCTATTCTAGCTTGGAATCTGAAACATTGACAAGAGCTGCCTGAAATGTATGTCTGTGGTGTGATTAGAGTTACGATAAGCAAGTCAATAGTGAGATGACCTTGGAGATGTTGAACTTTTGTGAGAGAATGAGTTGTTTTTTTGTTTTGGTTTTTAGTACTTTAACATAATCTACCTTTAGTTTAAGTATCGCTCACAGTTACCTAGTTACTGAAGCAAGCCCCCAAAGAAATTTGGTTTGGCAACACTTTGTTAGCCTCGTTTTTCTCTCTACATTGCATTGCTCGTGAAGCATTGGATCATACGTACATTTCAGAGTCTAGAGGGCCTGTCCTTCTGTGGCCCAGATGTGGTGCTCCCTCTAGCATGCAGGCTCAGAGGCCTTGGCCCATCACCCTGGCTCACGTGTGTCTTTCTTTCTCCCCTTGTCCTTCCTTGGGGCCTCCAGCTTTCTGCGGGTGATGAGCCGGTCAATGCCCCTCTTCATGACGCTGGCCTGGATTTACTCAGTGGCTGTGATCATCAAGGGCATCGTGTATGAGAAGGAGGCACGGCTGAAAGAGACCATGCGGATCATGGGCCTGGACAACAGCATCCTCTGGTTTAGCTGGTTCATTAGTAGCCTCATTCCTCTTCTTGTGAGCGCTGGCCTGCTAGTGGTCATCCTGAAGGTAAGGCAGCCTCACTCGCTCTTCCCTGCCAGGAAACTCCGAAATAGCTCAACACGGGCTAAGGGAGGAGAAGAAGAAAAAAAATCCAAGCCTCTGGTAGAGAAGGGGTCATACCTGTCATTTCCTGCAATTTCATCCATTTATAGTTGGGGAAAGTGAGGCCCAGAGAGGGGCAGTGACTTGCCCAAGGTCAACCCAGCCGGGTAGCAGCTAAGTAGGATGAGAGTGCAGGGTTCATGCTTTCCAGATAACCACATGCTCAACTGTGCCATGCTGTCTCATTGGTAGTGGTTCATGGCAGCATCTGAAAGCTATTTATTTTCTTAGATATATTGGGTGGCGATTCTTCCTAAGTTTCTAAGAACAATAATCAGAAGGATATATATTGTTGCAGGTTAGACTGTCTGGAAGCAGAGGCTGAAATAGAGTTTGATGTATGGGTATTTATGAGGGCTCAATACCTATGGAAGAGATATGGAAGATGCAGGATTGGGCAGAGGGAGGAGTTGAACTGTGATATAGGGCCAACCCCGTGGGGCACTCTAGAGAATATGCAGCTTGTTGGAGTTGTTCTTCATCGAGCTGAAACATCCAGCCCTTTGTGCTCCCCCAAGGCCTCCCTCCTGACACCACCTACCTCAGCCCTCTCAATCAATCACTGGATGTGGGCTGCCCTGGGAAGGTCGTGCCCCAGGGCCTACATGGCTCTCTGCTGCTGTGACAAACCCAGAGTTGCTGATGCCTGAGGCCGTCTACTGACAGCTGGGCAACAAGGCTTCCCTGAATGGGGACTCTGGGCAGTGCAGTTTTGTGTCTGAACCATACATTAATATATTTATATCCGAATTTTCTTTCTCTGCAAGCATTTCATATAAAGACACATCAGGTAAAAATAAATGTTTTTGAAGCAAAAGGAGTACAAAGAGATAAGAACTAACTAATTTAATACTAGTTACCATCTGTTACAAATAGTTCCTACTGATTGCCAAGGACTGTTTAAACACATCACATGGGCTTCTTCTTCTATCCTCACTAACCCTTTTAACAGACAAGGAAATGAGGCTCAGGAAGGTCAAGGACTTTATTGAGGTTCCACAGTAGGATACAGTTCTTGCTAAAAGCAACCCCTCCCTCATGCTCTGTTATCTAACTGCAAGGGGAAGGTCAGTGGCAGAGGTAGTGGTCCCATGGTTGGTGCATAAGAGCTGCTCTGAGACAACTGCATGCTGGTGGGTCCTGCAGACATGTACCCATCAGCCGGAGATAGGCTCAAAATATCCACAAGAGTTTGGATGATTGTGGGAATGCAGAATCCATGGTGATCAAGAGGGAAAGTCAAGTTGCCTGGCCATTTTCCTTGGCTTTTAGACAGAAAAGTTACGTGGGATATTATCTCCCACAGCTCTTCTGTGGTGCCACCAGTCATAGTCCTTATATAAGGAGAAACCAGTTGAAATTACCTATTGAAGAAACAAAGAGCAAACTCGCCCACTGAAATGCGTAGAAAGCCCTGGACTCTGTTGTATTCATAACTCTGCCATTATTTTTCTGCGTAGTTTTGGGTAAGTCACTTATCTTCTTTAGGATGGTAATGATCAGTTGCCTCATCAGAAAGATGAACAGCATTACGCCTCTGCATTGTCTCTAACATGAGTAGGAATAAACCCTGTCTTTTTTCTGTAGATCATACAAGTGAGTGCTTGGGATTGTTGAGGCAGCACATTTGATGTGTCTCTTCCTTCCCAGTTAGGAAACCTGCTGCCCTACAGTGATCCCAGCGTGGTGTTTGTCTTCCTGTCCGTGTTTGCTGTGGTGACAATCCTGCAGTGCTTCCTGATTAGCACACTCTTCTCCAGAGCCAACCTGGCAGCAGCCTGTGGGGGCATCATCTACTTCACGCTGTACCTGCCCTACGTCCTGTGTGTGGCATGGCAGGACTACGTGGGCTTCACACTCAAGATCTTCGCTGTGAGTACCTCTGGCCTTTCTTCAGTGGCTGTAGGCATTTGACCTTCCTTTGGAGTCCCTGAATAAAAGCAGCAAGTTGAGAACAGAAGATGATTGTCTTTTCCAATGGGACATGAACCTTAGCTCTAGATTCTAAGCTCTTTAAGGGTAAGGGCAAGCATTGTGTTTTATTAAATTGTTTACCTTTAGTCTTCTCAGTGAATCCTGGTTGAATTGAATTGAATGGAATTTTTCCGAGAGCCAGACTGCATCTTGAACTGGGCTGGGGATAAATGGCATTGAGGAATGGCTTCAGGCAACAGATGCCATCTCTGCCCTTTATCTCCCAGCTCTGTTGGCTATGTTAAGCTCATGACAAAGCCAAGGCCACAAATAGAACTGAAAACTCTTGATGTCAGAGATGACCTCTCTTGTCTTCCTTGTGTCCAGTATGGTGTTTTGCTTGAGTAATGTTTTCTGAACTAAGCACAACTGAGGAGCAGGTGCCTCATCCCACAAATTCCTGACTTGGACACTTCCTTCCCTCGTACAGAGCAGGGGGATATCTTGGAGAGTGTGTGAGCCCCTACAAGTGCAAGTTGTCAGATGTCCCCAGGTCACTTATCAGGAAAGCTAAGAGTGACTCATAGGATGCTCCTGTTGCCTCAGTCTGGGCTTCATAGGCATCAGCAGCCCCAAACAGGCACCTCTGATCCTGAGCCATCCTTGGCTGAGCAGGGAGCCTCAGAAGACTGTGGGTATGCGCATGTGTGTGGGGGAACAGGATTGCTGAGCCTTGGGGCATCTTTGGAAACATAAAGTTTTAAAAGTTTTATGCTTCACTGTATATGCATTTCTGAAATGTTTGTATATAATGAGTGGTTACAAATGGAATCATTTTATATGTTACTTGGTAGCCCACCACTCCCCTAAAGGGACTCTATAGGTAAATACTACTTCTGCACCTTATGATTGATCCATTTTGCAAATTCAAATTTCTCCAGGTATAATTTACACTAGAAGAGATAGAAAAATGAGACTGACCAGGAAATGGATAGGTGACTTTGCCTGTTTCTCACAGAGCCTGCTGTCTCCTGTGGCTTTTGGGTTTGGCTGTGAGTACTTTGCCCTTTTTGAGGAGCAGGGCATTGGAGTGCAGTGGGACAACCTGTTTGAGAGTCCTGTGGAGGAAGATGGCTTCAATCTCACCACTTCGGTCTCCATGATGCTGTTTGACACCTTCCTCTATGGGGTGATGACCTGGTACATTGAGGCTGTCTTTCCAGGTACACTGCTTTGGGCATCTGTTTGGAAAATATGACTTCTAGCTGATGTCCTTTCTTTGTGCTAGAATCTCTGCAGTGCATGGGCTTCCCTGGGAAGTGGTTTGGGCTATAGATCTATAGTAAACAGATAGTCCAAGGACAGGCAGCTGATGCTGAAAGTACAATTGTCACTACTTGTACAGCACTTGTTTCTTGAAAACTGTGTGCCAGGCAGCATGCAAAATGTTTTATACACATTGCTTCATTTAATTCTCACAAGGCTACTCTGAAGTAGTTACTATAATAACCAGCAATTTTCAAATGAGAGAACTGTGACTCAAAGACGTTAAGTAACCAGCTTTGGTCACACAACTGTTAAATGTTGGTACGTGGAGGTGAATCCACTTCGGTTACACTGGGTCAATAAGCCCAGGCGAATCCTCCCAATGCTCACCCAATTCTGTATTTCTGTGTCCTCAGAGGGGGTACAACTAGGAGAGGTTCTGTTTCCTGAGTACAGGTTGTTAATAATTAAATATACTAGCTCTAAGGCCTGCCTGTGATTTAATTAGCATTCAATAAAAATTCATGTTGAATTTTTCTTTAGTACTTCTTTCTTAATATAATACATCTTCTTGACCAAGTCCAAGAGGAACCTGCGTTGGACAGTTTTCATATGAGATCAAATTCTGAGAGAGCAAGATTTAACCCTTTTTGGTTCACCTTCTGATCCTCCCCTAAGGAGGTATACATGAAATATTTATTACTCCTGCCTGAACTTCTTTCATTGAATATGCAATTTTGCAGCATGCAGATTCTGGATTTAAATTCTGAGTCTTAACTTACTGGCTGAGGGACCTTGGATAGGCTCCTTATCCCTCAGTTTCCTCATCTCTAAAATGGGGATGGCACCTGCCCCGTGGGTTGTTGGAAGGACTTACAGAGGTGCAGAATGTACGTTGTACATAGCAGGTTTCAGCAAATGTTAGCTCCCTCTTTCCCCACATCCATTCAAATCTGTTCCTTCTCCAAAGGATGTGTCAAGGAGGAAATGGACCTGGCTGGGAAACCCTCAGAATACTGGGATGATGCTGAGCTTGGCTCATACCTGTGCTTTGCTTTCAGGCCAGTACGGAATTCCCAGGCCCTGGTATTTTCCTTGCACCAAGTCCTACTGGTTTGGCGAGGAAAGTGATGAGAAGAGCCACCCTGGTTCCAACCAGAAGAGAATATCAGAAAGTAAGTGCTGTTGACCTCCTGCTCTTTCTTTAACCTAGTGCTGCTGCCTCTGCTAACTGTTGGGGGCAAGCGATGTCTCCTGCCTTTCTAAAAGACTGTGAAACCACTCCAGGGGCAGAGAAATCACATGCAGTGTCCCTTTCCAAATCCTCCCATGCCATTTATGTCCAATGCTGTTGACCTATTGGGAGTTCACGGTCTCGATCCCTGAGGGACATTTTCTTTGTTGTCTTGGCTTCTAGAAGAGTATCTTTTACTTGCCCCCTCCCAAACACACATTTCATGGTCTCCTAACAAGCTAGAAGAAAGAGGTAAAGACAAGCGTGATTGTGGAACCATAGCCTCGCTGCCTGCCTGTGACATGGTGACCTGTGTATCAGCCTGTGTGGGCTGAGACCAAGTGGCTACCACAGAGCTCAGCCTATGCTTCATAATGTAATCATTACCCAGATCCCTAATCCTCTCTTGGCTCTTAACTGCAGACAGAGATGTCCACAGCTCATCAAAGGCTCTGCCTTCTGGGTTCTTTGTGCTTAGAGTGGCTTCCTAAATATTTAATAGGTCCCTTTTCTGCCAGTCTCTTCTGTGCCCATCCCCTGATTGCCCTTGGTAAAAGTATGATGCCCCTTAGTGTAGCACGCTTGCCTGCTGTTCCTAATCATCTTCTCCTACCTCCTCTTTACACCTAGCTCCTGTTTCAGTCACCTAGAAATGCTCACAGTCGCTGGAATATGTCATGTTCTTCCACACCTCCATGCCTTTGTAGGTACTGTTTGCTCTCACAGGAGAACTTTCTCTCTAACTTGCCTATCTTCTCAACTCCTCCTTTCTCTCCAAGATCTAGTTCCGGATCCCCTCCCCTGAGCATCCCTCCTTGGTTCTCAGGTAGTCAGTCACTCTCTGCCCTGAACTTCCATGGCACGTGAAAGAAAATCTTTTTATTTTAAAACAATTACAGACTCACAAGAAGTAATACAAATTACATGAGGGGGTTCCCTTAAACCTTTCATCCAGTTTCCCCAATGGTAGCAGCATGTGTAACTGTAGAATAGTATCAAAACCATGAAATTGACATAGGTACAATTCACAAACCTTCTTCAGATTTCACTAGCTTTATGTGCGCTCATTTGTGTGTGTGTGTGCGTATTTAGTTCTATGCAATTTTATCATGTGTGAATTCATGTAATTACTAGCTCAGTCAAGCTGCAGAAATATCTCATTGTCACAAAGCTCCTTCATGCTACCCCTTAATGGCCACAGCCACCTCCCTTCTTCCTCAGTTCCTGACACCTGTCAACCACTAATGCGTTCCTCGTTTTTACAGTTTTATTATTTCTAGAATGTTACATAAATGGAACCATACAGTAGGTATCCTTTTGATACTGGCTTTTTTTTTTTTTCACTCAGCAGTATTCCCTTAGATCTATCCAAGTTGTGTGTGTCAACAGTTCATTCCTCTTCACTGCTGAGTAGTGTTCCCTGGGAGGGGTGTATCACAGTTCCATGGCATTTTTAGATGTATTTTTTAAACAGCTTTCAGCATCCTCTATTTTAATTGTTCATCAAGTCCTTTTTCCCAATAGACTCTGAATGCTCCTTTATCATCGTATTCCCATCACCAACATCAGTACCCAAATAGGCCCTAAATAAACATTTATAGCCTCCTGCCTGCCTGAGAAACCAGGGTGGACATGGAGAGAAGGCACTTCTGAAAGTTCAAGCGCAGTGCCCTGTGTCCTTACACTCCACTCCTCAGTGCTTTCTGTGGGTTCATTTCTGTCTTCTCTCCTGTCACAGTCTGCATGGAGGAGGAACCCACCCACTTGAAGCTGGGCGTGTCCATTCAGAACCTGGTAAAAGTCTACCGAGATGGGATGAAGGTGGCTGTCGATGGCCTGGCACTGAATTTTTATGAGGGCCAGATCACCTCCTTCCTGGGCCACAATGGAGCGGGGAAGACGACCACCATGTAAGAAGAGGGTGTGGTTCCCGCAGAATCAGCCACAGGAGGGTTCTGCAGTAGAGTTAGAAATTTATACCTTAGGAAACCATGCTGATCCCTGGGCCAAGGGAAGGAGCACATGAGGAGTTGCCGAATGTGAACATGTTATCTAATCATGAGTGTCTTTCCACGTGCTAGTTTGCTAGATGTTATTTCTTCAGCCTAAAACAAGCTGGGGCCTCAGATGACCTTTCCCATGTAGTTCACAGAATTCTGCAGTGGTCTTGGAACCTGCAGCCACGAAAAGATAGATTACATATGTTGGAGGGAGTTGGTAATTCCCAGGAACTCTGTCTCTAAGCAGATGTGAGAAGCACCTGTGAGACGCAATCAAGCTGGGCAGCTGGCTTGATTGCCTTCCCTGCGACCTCAAGGACCTTACAGTGGGTAGTATCAGGAGGGGTCAGGGGCTGTAAAGCACCAGCGTTAGCCTCAGTGGCTTCCAGCACGATTCCTCAACCATTCTAACCATTCCAAAGGGTATATCTTTGGGGGGTGACATTCTTTTCCTGTTTTCTTTTTAATCTTTTTTTAAAACATAGAATTAATATATTATGAGCTTTTCAGAAGATTTTTAAAAGGCAGTCAGAAATCCTACTACCTAACACAAAAATTGTTTTTATCTTTGAATAATATGTTCTTGTTTGTCCATTTTCCATGCATGCGATGTTAGGCATACAAAATACATTTTTTAAAGAATACTTTCATTGCAGATTGGAAACTTCGTTTAAAAAATGCTCATACTAAAATTGGCATTTCTAACCCATAGGCCCACTTGTAGTTATTTACCGAAGCAAAAGGACAGCTTTGCTTTGTGTGGGTCTGGTAGGGTTCATTAGAAAGGAATGGGGGCGGTGGGAGGGTTGGTGTTCTGTTCTCTCTGCAGACTGAATGGAGCATCTAGAGTTAAGGGTAGGTCAACCCTGACTTCTGTACTTCTAAATTTTTGTCCTCAGGTCAATCCTGACCGGGTTGTTCCCCCCGACCTCGGGCACCGCCTACATCCTGGGAAAAGACATTCGCTCTGAGATGAGCACCATCCGGCAGAACCTGGGGGTCTGTCCCCAGCATAACGTGCTGTTTGACATGTGAGTACCAGCAGCACGTTAAGAATAGGCCTTTTCTGGATGTGTGTGTGTCATGCCATCATGGGAGGAGTGGGACTTAAGCATTTTACTTTGCTGTGTTTTTGTTTTTTCTTTTTTTCTTTTTTATTTTTTTGAGATGGAGTCTCGCTCTGTAGCCAGGCTGGACTGTAGTGGCGCGATCTCGGCTCACTGCAACCTTGGCCTCCCAGGTTCAAGCGATTCTCCTGCCTCAGCCTCCCGAGTAGCTGGGACTCTAGGCACACACCACCATGCCCAGCTAATTTTTGTGTTTTTAGTAGAGACGGGGTTTCACCATGTTGGCCAGGATGGTCTCAATGTCTTGACCTCGTGATCCGCCCACCTCGGTCTCCCAAAGTGCTGGGAACACAGGCATGAGCCACTGTGTCTGGCCACATTTTACTTTCTTTGAATATGGCAGGCTCACCTCCGTGAACACCTTGAGACCTAGTTGTTCTTTGATTTTAGGAGAAGTGGGAGGTGAATGGTTGAGCTGTAGAGGTGACATCAGCCCAGCCAGTGGATGGGGGCTTGGGAAACATTGCTTCCCATTATTGTCATGCTGGAGGGCCCTTTAGCCCATCCTCTCCCCCGCCACCCTCCTTATTGAGGCCTGGAGCAGACTTCCCAGACCTGGTAGTGCTTCAGGGCCCTGGTATGATGGACCTATATTTGCTGCTTAAGACATTTGCTCCCACTCAGGTTGTCCCATCAGCCATAAGGCCCCCAGGGAGCCCGTGTGATGGAGCAGAGAGAGACCTGAGCTCTGCAATCTTGGGCAAGGCTTTTCCCTTATGTTTCTTCTTATCTAAAGTGAACAGCTGGGGCTCATGTGCTCCCTCCTCATCTAAAGTGAACACATGGGGCTCATGTGCAGGGTCCTCCCCGCTTTCAGAGCCTGAGGTCCCCTGAGGCTCAGGAAGGCTGCTCCAGGTGAGTGCCGAGCTGACTTCTTGGTGGACGTGCTGTGGGGACAGCCCATTAAAGACCACATCTTGGGGCCCTGAAATTGAAAGTTGTAACTGCCTGGTGCATGGTGGCCAGGCCTGCTGGAAACAGGTTGGAAGCGATCTGTCACCTTTCACTTTGATTTCCTGAGCAGCTCATGTGGTTGCTCACTGTTGTTCTACCTTGAATCTTGAAGATTATTTTTCAGAAATTGATAAAGTTATTTTAAAAAGCACGGGGAGAGAAAAATATGCCCATTCTCATCTGTTCTGGGCCAGGGGACACTGTATTCTGGGGTATCCAGTAGGGCCCAGAGCTGACCTGCCTCCCTGTCCCCAGGCTGACTGTCGAAGAACACATCTGGTTCTATGCCCGCTTGAAAGGGCTCTCTGAGAAGCACGTGAAGGCGGAGATGGAGCAGATGGCCCTGGATGTTGGTTTGCCATCAAGCAAGCTGAAAAGCAAAACAAGCCAGCTGTCAGGTGCGGCCCAGAGCTACCTTCCCTATCCCTCTCCCCTCCTCCTCCGGCTACACACATGCGGAGGAAAATCAGCACTGCCCCAGGGTCCCAGGCTGGGTGCGGTTGGTAACAGAAACTTGTCCCTGGCTGTGCCCCTAGGTCCTCTGCCTTCACTCACTGTCTGGGGCTGGTCCTGGAGTTTGTCTTGCTCTGTTTTTTTGTAGGTGGAATGCAGAGAAAGCTATCTGTGGCCTTGGCCTTTGTCGGGGGATCTAAGGTTGTCATTCTGGATGAACCCACAGCTGGTGTGGACCCTTACTCCCGCAGGGGAATATGGGAGCTGCTGCTGAAATACCGA
The DNA here is from genome assembly GCF_000001405.40 of Homo sapiens. Lineage (NCBI taxonomy): Eukaryota > Metazoa > Chordata > Mammalia > Primates > Hominidae > Homo > Homo sapiens. The sequence continues at coordinate 104,819,589 of NC_000009.12, read as the reverse complement.
CAAGGTGCCTGATGTGTATTTATTCTGAGTAAATGGACTGAGAGAGAGCGGGGGGCTTTTGAGAAGTGTGGCTGTATCTCATGGCTAGGCTTCTGTGAAGCCATGGGATACTCTTCTGTTATCACAGAAGAGATAAAGGGCATTGAGACTGAGATTCCTGAGAGGAGATGCTGTGTCTTTATTCATCTTTTTGTCCCCAACATGGTGCACTAAATTTATGGTTAGTTGAAAGGGTGGATGCTTAAATGAATGGAAGCGGAGAGGGGCAGGAAGACGATTGGGCTCTCTGGTTAGAGATCTGATGTGGTACAGTATGAGGAGCACAGGCAGGCTTGGAGCCAACTCTGGCTGGCCCTGAGACATTGGGAAAGTCACAACTTGCCTCACCTTCTTTGCCGATAATAATAGTGGTGCTTACCTCATAGAGGATTAAATTAAATGAGAATGCACACAAACCACCTAGCACAATGCCTGGCATATAGCAAGTTCCCAAATAAAATGCTACTGTTCTTACCTCTGTGAGGATGTGGTACCTATATATACAAAGCTTTGCCATTCTAGGGGTCATAGCCATACAGGGTGAAAGGTGGCTTCCAGGTCTCTTCCAGTGCTTACCCCTGCTAATATCTCTCTAGTCCCTGTCACTGTGACAAATCAGAACTGAGAGGCCTCACCTGTCCCACATCCTTGTGTTTGTGCCTGGCAGGCCGCACCATTATTCTCTCTACACACCACATGGATGAAGCGGACGTCCTGGGGGACAGGATTGCCATCATCTCCCATGGGAAGCTGTGCTGTGTGGGCTCCTCCCTGTTTCTGAAGAACCAGCTGGGAACAGGCTACTACCTGACCTTGGTCAAGAAAGATGTGGAATCCTCCCTCAGTTCCTGCAGAAACAGTAGTAGCACTGTGTCATACCTGAAAAAGGTGAGCTGCAGTCTTGGTGCTGGGCTGGTGTTGGGTCTGGGCAGCCAGGACTTGCTGGCTGTGAATGATTTCTCCATCTCCACCCCTTTTGCCATGTTGAAACCACCATCTCCCTGCTCTGTTGCCCCTTTGAAATCATATCATACTTAAGGCATGGAAAGCTAAGGGGCCCTCTGCTCCCATTGTGCTAGTTCTGTTGAATCCCGTTTTCCTTTTCCTATGAGGCACAGAGAGTGATGGAGAAGGTCCTTAGAGGACATTATTATGTCAAAGAAAAGAGACTTGTCAAGAGGTAAGAGCCTTGGCTACAAATGACCTGGTGTTCCTGCTCATTACTTTTCAATCTCATTGACCTTAACTTTTAAACTATAAAACAGCCAATATTTATTAGGCACTGATTTCATGCCAGAGACACTCTGGGCATGAAAGAAAGTAATGATAATAGTTAATTTTATATAGCGTTGTTACCATTTACAACCTTTTTTTTTTTTTTAACCTCTATCATCTCAATTAAAGTGCAGAGAGACCCTGGGAAGAAGGTAACTATATTTATTATCCCAGATGAGGGAAGTGAGGCTTGTAGGGAATTGGTAGCTGATTCAAGGTCACCCAGCAGGTAAATAACAGTGGTGGGACCAGACCCAATTACCAGGTATGTTTTCCTCTGTACCGCAGTACATGCCTGAGATTTATTTGTGTGTTGAAGCCAGTGGTACCTAATGTATTTACATCCCAACCTGAAACTCCTATCCACTTATTTACCTTTTAATGAGCCTCTTAACTCAAGTGCAGTCTGAGGACCAGCAGCATCAGGATCACTTGGGAACTTGTTAGAAATTCAGCAACCTGGGCCCAGCTCAGACCTACCGAATCAGAATCTGTGCATTTTAACAAGGTTCTTGAGTGGTTGAACACACATTAAAGCATGAGAAGCATTGAACTAGACATGTAGCCAGGTAAAGGCCTTGCCTGAGATGGTTGGCAAAGGCCTCATTGCAGCATTCATTGGCAGGCCACAGTTCTTTTGGCAGCTCTGCTTCCTGACCTTTCACCCTCAGGAAGCGAGGCTGTTCACACGGCACACACATGCCAGACAGGGTCCTCTGAAGCCACGGCTGCCAGTGCATGTGTCCCAGGGAAAGCTTTTTCCTTTAGTTCTCACACAACAGAGCTTCTTGGAAGCCCTCCCCGGCGAAGGTGCTGGTGGCTCTGCCTTGCTCCGTCCCTGACCCGTTCTCACCTCCTTCTTTGCCATCAGGAGGACAGTGTTTCTCAGAGCAGTTCTGATGCTGGCCTGGGCAGCGACCATGAGAGTGACACGCTGACCATCGGTAAGGACTCTGGGGTTTCTTATTCAGGTGGTGCCTGAGCTTCCCCCAGCTGGGCAGAGTGGAGGCAGAGGAGGAGAGGTGCAGAGGCTGGTGGCGCTGACTCAAGGTTTGCTGCTGGGCTGGGGCTGGGTGGCTGCGGGTGTGGGAGCAGCTTGGTGGCGGGTTGGCCTAATGCTTGCTGGGGTGCCTGGGGCTCGGTTTGGGAGCTAGCAGGGCAGTGTCCCAGAGAGCTGAGATGATTGGGGTTTGGGGAATCCCTTAGGGGAGTGGACACTGAATACCAGGGATGAGGAGCTGAGGGCCAAGCCAGGAGGGTGGGATTTGAGCTTAGTACATAAGAAGAGTGAGAGCCCAGGAGATGAGGAACAGCCTTCCAGATTTTTCTTGGGTAGCGTGTGTAGGAGGCCAGTGTCACCAGTAGCATATGTGGAACAGAAGTCTTGACCCTTGCTATCTCTGCCTAGTCCTAATGGCTGGCTTTTCCCAGGAAGGCTTCTGCTTCCATGGACTGTTAGATTAACCCTTTATTTAGGTAAATGAGGGAACCTACTTTATAAGCATAGGAAAGGGTGAAGAATCTTTTAAGATTCCTTTACTCAAGTTTTCTTTTGAAGAATCCCAGAGCTTAGGCAATAGACACCAGACTTTGAGCCTCAGTTATCCATTCACCCATCCACCCACCCACCCACCCATCCTTCCATCCTCCCATCCTCCCATTCACCCATCCACCCATCCAGCTGTCCACCCATTCTACACTGAGTACCTATAATGTGCCTGGCTTTGGTGATACAAAGGTGAATAAGACATAGTCCTTTCCTTTGCCCCCAACCCTCAGACCAGAGATGAACATGTGGAATGACCTAAACACCTGGAACAGGTGTGGTGTATGAGCGGCAGGCCTCTGATGAGAGGGTGGGGGATGGCCAGCCCTCACTCCGAAGCCCCTCTGAGTTGATTGAGCCATCTTTGCATTCTGGTCCCTGCAGATGTCTCTGCTATCTCCAACCTCATCAGGAAGCATGTGTCTGAAGCCCGGCTGGTGGAAGACATAGGGCATGAGCTGACCTATGTGCTGCCATATGAAGCTGCTAAGGAGGGAGCCTTTGTGGAACTCTTTCATGAGATTGATGACCGGCTCTCAGACCTGGGCATTTCTAGTTATGGCATCTCAGAGACGACCCTGGAAGAAGTAAGTTAAGTGGCTGACTGTCGGAATATATAGCAAGGCCAAATGTCCTAAGGCCAGACCAGTAGCCTGCATTGGGAGCAGGATTATCATGGAGTTAGTCATTGAGTTTTTAGGTCATCGACATCTGATTAATGTTGGCCCCAGTGAGCCATTTAAGATGGTAGTGGGAGATAGCAGGAAAGAAGTGTTTTCCTCTGTACCACAGTACATGCCTGAGATTTGTGTGTTGAAACCAGTGGTACCTAACACATTTACATCCCAACCTTAAACTCCTATGCACTTATTTACCCTTTAATGAGCCTCTTTACTTAAGTACAGTGTGAGGAACAGCGGCATCAGGATCACTTGGGAACTTGTTAGAAATTCAGCAACTTGGGCCCAGCTCAGACCTACTGAATCAGAATCAGGAGCAATTCTCTGGTGTGACTGTGTCACAGCCAGGTATCAACTGGATTCTCATACATAGGAAATGACAAACGTTTATGGATGGATAGTCTACTTGTGCCAGGTGCTGAGATTTGTTTTTTGTTTTTTGATTTTTTTTTAATCACTGTGACCTCATTTAATTCTCAAAAAAAGATGAAAAAATGAACACTCAGGAATGCTGACATGAGATTCAGAATCAGGGGTTTGGGGCTTCAAAGTCCATCCTCTCTTTATCCATGTAATGCCTCCCCTTAGAGATACAACATCACAGACCTTGAAGGCTGAAGGGGATATAAAAGCTGTCTGGCCAAGTGGTCTCCAAGCTTGACAGTGCAGCAGAATCACCTGGGGATATTATTAAAAATAAACATACTAAGGTTTGGCTTCAGGGCCTGTGAATCAGAATTTCTGGAGGTGAGGCCTTGAAGTCTGTATTTCTATTGCATACTTTGGACACAGTGGTCTATAGACTAGAGTTTGGAAATGATTGCGCTCATTCAGATTCTCTTCTGATGTTTGAATTGCTGCCATCATATTTCTAGTGCTCTATTTCCTCCTGCTCATTCTGTCTTGGATAACTTATCATAGTACTAGCCTACTCAAAGATTTAGAGCCACAGTCCTGAAAGAAGCCACTTGACTCATTCCCTGTAGGTTCAGAATAAATTTCTTCTGCGCAGTGTCTGTCATAGCTTTTTTTAAATTTTTTTTTATTTTTGATGAGACTGGAGTTTTGCTCTTATTGCCCAAGCTGGAGTGCAGTGGTGCGATTTTGGCTCACTGCAACCTCCACCTCCCAGGTTCAAGCGATTCTCCTGCCTCAGCCTCCCAAGTAGCTGAGATTACAAGCATGTGCTACCACGCCCAGCTAATTTTGTATTTTTAGTAGAGATGGGTTTTATCCATGTTGGTCAGGCTGGTCTCGAGCTCCAGACCTCAGGTGATCTGCCCGCCTCGGCCTCCCAAAGTGCTGGGATTATAGGCCTGAGCCACAGCGCTCAGCCATAACTTTAATTTGAAAATGATTGTCTAGCTTGATAGCTCTCACCACTGAGGAAATGTTCTCTGGCAAAAACGGCTTCTCTCCCAGGTAACTCTGAGAAAGTGTTATTAAGAAATGTGGCTTCTACTTTCTCTGTCTTACGGGGCTAACATGCCACTCAGTAATATAATAATCGTGGCAGTGGTGACTACTCTCGTAATGTTGGTGCTTATAATGTTCTCATCTCTCTCATTTTCCAGATATTCCTCAAGGTGGCCGAAGAGAGTGGGGTGGATGCTGAGACCTCAGGTAACTGCCTTGAGGGAGAATGGCACACTTAAGATAGTGCCTTCTGCTGGCTTTCTCAGTGCACGAGTATTGTTCCTTTCCCTTTGAATTGTTCTATTGCATTCTCATTTGTAGAGTGTAGGTTTGTTGCAGATGGGGAAGGTTTGTTTTGTTGTAAATAAAATAAAGTATGGGATTCTTTCCTTGTGCCTTCAGATGGTACCTTGCCAGCAAGACGAAACAGGCGGGCCTTCGGGGACAAGCAGAGCTGTCTTCGCCCGTTCACTGAAGATGATGCTGCTGATCCAAATGATTCTGACATAGACCCAGGTCTGTTAGGGCAAGATCAAACAGTGTCCTACTGTTTGAATGTGAAATTCTCTCTCATGCTCTCACCTGTTTTCTTTGGATGGCCTTTAGCCAAGGTGATAGATCCCTACAGAGTCCAAAGAGAAGTGAGGAAATGGTAAAAGCCACTTGTTCTTTGCAGCATCGTGCATGTGATCAAACCTGAAAGAGCCTATCCATATCACTTCCTTTAAAGACATAAAGATGGTGCCTCAATCCTCTGAACCCATGTATTTATTATCTTTTCTGCGGGGTCCTAGTTTCTTGTATACATTAGGTGTTTAATTGTTGAACAAATATTCATTCGAGTAGATGAGTGATTTTGAAAGAGTCAGAAAGGGGAATTTGCTGTTAGAGTTAATTGTACCCTAAGACTTAGATATTTGAGGCTGGGCATGGTGGCTCATGCCAGTAATCCCAGCGCTTTGAGAGGCTGAGGTGGGTAGATCACCTGAGGTCAGGAGTTTGAGACCAGTCTGACCAACAAGGTGAAACCCCGTCTCTACTAAATACAAAAAATTAGCCGAGTGTGGTGGCACATGCCTGTCATCCCAGCTACTTGGGAGGCTGAGGCAGGAGAATCGCTTGAACCCAGGAGGCAGAGGTTGCAGTCAGCCACGGTTGCGCCATTGCACTCCAGACTGGGCAACAAGAGTGAAAACTCCATCTCAAAAAAGAAAAAAAAAGAATTAGATATTTTGGATGAGTGTGTCTTTGTGTGTTTAACTGAGATGGAGAGGAGAGCTAAGACATCAAACAAATATTGTTAAGATGTAAAAGCACATCAGTTAGGTATCATTAGTTTAGGACAAGGATTTCTAGAAAATTTTTAGGAACAGAAAACTTTCCAGTTCTCTCACCCCTGCTCAAAGAGTGTATGGCTCTTACATTATATATAACTGCCTGACTTCATACAGTATCAGTACTTAGATCATTTGAAATGTGTCCACGTTTTACCAAAATATAATAGGGTGAGAAGCTGAGATGCTAATTGCCATTGTGTATTCTCAAATATGTCAAGCTACGTACATGGCCTGTTTCATAGAGTAGTCTATAAGAAATTGATGACTTGATTCATCCGAATGGCTGGCTGTAACACCTGGTTACGCATGAACACCTCTTTTCAGTTGTCTCAAGACACCTTTCTTTTCTGTACTTATCAGACAAGGACTGAAAGGCAGAGACTGCTACTGTTAGACATTTTGAGTCAAGCTTTTCCTTGGACATAGCTTTGTCATGAAAGCCCTTTACTTCTGAGAAACTTCTAGCTTCAGACACATGCCTTCAAGATAGTTGTTGAAGACACCAGAAGAAGGAGCATGGCAATGCCGAAAACACCTAAGATAATAGGTGACCTTCAGTGTTGGCTTCTTGCAGAATCCAGAGAGACAGACTTGCTCAGTGGGATGGATGGCAAAGGGTCCTACCAGGTGAAAGGCTGGAAACTTACACAGCAACAGTTTGTGGCCCTTTTGTGGAAGAGACTGCTAATTGCCAGACGGAGTCGGAAAGGATTTTTTGCTCAGGTGAGACGTGCTGTTTTCGCCAGAGACTCTGGCTTCATGGGTGGGCTGCAGGCTCTGTGACCAGTGAAGGCAGGATAGCATCCTGGTCAAGATATGGATGCCGGAGCCAGATTTATCTGTATTTCAATCCCAGTTCTATTCCTTGCCAGTTGTGTATCCGCTGGCAAGTTACTTCTCTATGCCTCAATCTCCTCATCTGTAAAATGGGGATAATAATATTACCTGCAATACAGGGTTGTTACGAAAATAAAAATGAATAGGTGCTTAGAATGGGGCCTGACATTAGTAAGTGCTTAGTTTTGTGTGTGTATATGTTATTTTTATTTTGGAGGAGAACATAAAAAGGACAAAGTGTAGAAAAACTGGTTGGGTGTATTCAGCTGTCATAACATGAGAGTTGTTATGCCCAGATGCACTTGACATGTGAATTTATTAGAAACATGATTTTTCTCTGAGTTGATGTTTAACTCAAACTGATAGAAAAGATAGGTCAGAATATAGTTGGCCAACAGAGAAGACTTGTTAGACTATTGTCTGCATGTCAGTGTTTGCATGCTAACTTGCTTAGTTAGAAAGGTTAAATTTTTTCACTCTATAAAATCAAGAAATATAGAGAAAAGGTCTGCAGAGAGTCTTTCATTTGATGATGTGGATATTGTTAAGAGCGGGAGTTTGGAGCATACAGAGCTCAAGTTGAATCCTGACTTTGCTACTTATTGGCTATATGACCTTGGGCAAGCTGCTTAGTCTCTCTGATCCTCAGTTACCTTTGTTTGTTGATGATGACCATTGATAACACAACCATAAATAATGACAACATAGAGATAGTTCTCATTATAGTAGTTGTTATACAGAATTATTCACTCAATGTTAATTTTCTGCATTGAAATCCCAGAACATTAGAATTGGGGGCATTATTTGAATCTTTAAGGTTATAAGGAATACATTTCTCAGCAATAAATGGAAGGAGTTTTGGGTTAACTTATAAAGTATACCCAAGTCATTTTTTTTTCAGAGAAGATATGGTAGAAAGTCTTAGGAGGTTGAAGAAGGAATTGGATATTTATTCTTTCTGAGACTATCATGGGAGATAATGACTATGGTTGTCCATGATTGGAGCCGTTGCTGTAGAGTTGGTTTTATTATAGTGTAGGATTTGAATGGGCCATGTGTTCTCAGACCTCAGATTAAAATGAGAAAACTGAGGCCAGTGGGGAGCGTGACTTCACATGGGTACACTTGTGCTAGAGACAGAACCAGGATTCAGGACTTCTGGCTCCTGGTCCTGGGTTCATGGCCCAATGTAGTCTTTCTCAGTCTTCAGGAGGAGGAAGGGCAGGACCCAGTGTTCTGAGTCACCCTGAATGTGAGCACTATTTACTTCGTGAACTTCTTGGCTTAGTGCCTCTGCCAGGTGGCCATAACCTCTGGCCTTGTGTTGCCAGAGAAAAGGTTTAGTTTTCAGGCTCCATTGCTTCCCAGCTGCCAAGAATGCCTTGGTGCAGCACAGTCATAGGCCCTGCATTCCTCATTGCCGTGCTGGTTGGTCGGGGAGGTGGGCTGGACTCGTAGGGATTTGCCCCTTGGCCTTGTTTCTAACACTTGCCGTTTCCTGCTGTCCCCCTGCCCCCTCCACTGCCTGGGTAAAGATTGTCTTGCCAGCTGTGTTTGTCTGCATTGCCCTTGTGTTCAGCCTGATCGTGCCACCCTTTGGCAAGTACCCCAGCCTGGAACTTCAGCCCTGGATGTACAACGAACAGTACACATTTGTCAGGTATGTTTGTCTTCTACATCCCAGGAGGGGGTAAGATTCGAGCAGACCAAAGATGTTTACGAGGGCCAAGGGAATGGACTTCAGAATTACACGGTGGAATGAATTTTACTGCTGCGGCTCAGGTCCCTGTATAAGCTAATACTGCATGCATAGAACAGCAGCGAACTAACCCTGAATAATAGGCCAGTCTTCTGTTGAGCCTTTCAGCCTCTCTCCTCTTCATCCTACTGTTGTCAGGAACAGCCACATGTGTTTTAGGTGAAATAATCCACCCTTGCAAAAATCCATGATTAAGTTATAAAATATTTGGATTTGTGGAGCTGTGTTTTAATTCTGTAACTGAGTCACAGGGCACACTGTCAAAGCATAGAACCTCCAGAGACTTGTTTTCTGCAAAGTATAATTCATGTAATTATTATCTATTCTGTTATATTTGGGATGTTAGGTAGTGTTTGTTCTTTAGATAAAAATATCCCCCACTCTGTAACAATACATTAAATCAAAGAAAAGGACAAAGGATTTTTCTGGGTCTTGTTAGCAGGAGCTTTCTTCAGTCCTGAAAGATTTGTAGACCTGTAGATGGGGGAACTGTGTCAGTGATACAAAAGGGAAGCATTTAAAAAAAAAAAAGTATATATATATATATATATATATATATGTAATGTGAATTGGCCTCTTTTTCTCTAAGCCCACATTTTCTTCTTACATAGTTCAGGTTTACTTTATTTTTTCCTTTCCGGCTGCTGACCCTGTATTGCCCGTAGTTGTGGAACATAGCATGTGTTTGTGACCTGTGCCTGTTATTTTTGTGCTTTCTAGTTGTGCATGCAAAGAGTACAAAGTTTTCTTGCCCTTTCTTGGAAAATCCTGCTTGTCTGTGCCAAAGGGATAATTGTGAAAGCACTTTTGAAATACTTAATGAGTTGATTTTCTTCAAATTAAAAAAAATATATAAATGTATATGTGTATGTACATGTGTGTACACATACACACCTTTATACATACAGCCCATTTAAAACAAGCTCCACTTTGGAGTGCTCTACGTCACCCTGATGCCGAATACAGGGCCAGAGTCTGAGATCCTTCTGGGTGGTTTCTGTGTTTTGTTCATTTCTGTTTTAAGAGCCTGTCACAGAGAAATGCTTCCTAAAATGTTTAATTTATAAAAACATTTTTATCTCTCGATTACTGGTTTTAATGAATTACTAAGCTGGCTGCCTCTCATGTACCCACAGCAATGATGCTCCTGAGGACACGGGAACCCTGGAACTCTTAAACGCCCTCACCAAAGACCCTGGCTTCGGGACCCGCTGTATGGAAGGAAACCCAATCCCGTGAGTGCCACTTTAGCCATAAGCAGGCTTCTTGTGCTTGTTGCCTGGTTTGATTTCTAATATGCTGCATTTATCAACTGCATGCCACATTGTGACCGCCAGCATTTGCCCTTTGAATTATTATTATGTTTTATTTACAAAAAGCGAAGGTAGTAACCGAACTAAATTATCTAGGAACAAACGTTTGGAGAGTCTTCTAACACCGTGCAAAGCACGTCATTACAGACATTTGTTTACTGATTTAGAACCTTAATATTTAATTTAAATAGCACTTTACACTTACTGATGAAATGCTTTTCCTTTCTTTCTCTCCCAGCCCCTGTACTTAAGTGCTTCAATAGGCTCTCATTATATATGATTTTTAGGTTTTGCTTATCAGCTTCTTCGCTTTTATAATCTGAAAAGATGGCATATGAATTTTTATAAAAAGGGACACTTTCTTCTTCTCAAATTGTATATTTTTATTGTACTTTCCTTCAAAACCCCCTTTTAAAAAGTAAGCAGTGGATAAATAAATTCAGTGAAGCATCCATATGACCCTTAAGTGAGTGTAGGGGAAGGGAGGTCACCAGATCACTGTGAGTGAAGATGGTGGAGAGGTGAGGATCTTATGAGGCCGTGCTCAAGGCTGGTAGAGGTGGGTTAGTGTTTCCAGGTTTAGGCAGAATCTCAGCTGAGGTCATGAAACAACAGTGATCTCTGAAAAATTATGGCAAGGTGGGAAGGTGCTGGAGAATTGGAGAGGGGGCAAACTTGACTTTCAAGTTTCAATGGGAAGATAGGTGACTCTGCACACCACAGAACAGTGAGCATGATAACCTGTTTATACAAGGTTCTAGAGCAGATTTCTAAATGGATAGCTACTGTGTGCTTGTTTGTTCTTAATTAGTATTGGATAGTTACTAAATACTTGTTAGTACTTAGTACATAATGGGTGGTAAATCCTAGCAGCTAATATTGGTTCCCAAATAACCAGATGACAAGGATAGAGAAGGACACAGACACGGCCTATCTGGATTTCATGGTGCCTTTGATTTTCCACATGAAGGTTGTGTAGGGAAGATAGAAGCATGAGATGAGATGATAATATAGTTATCTGGATTCATCACTGGCCAGCTGAACCATATGAACTCATGGATTGATGCTAGCTTAGGAAGGCTCTGTAGGAGCCAGAACTGGGCTGAGAGCCAGCCCATAGAGACAAAAGAGGCCCGGCCCTGACATCAGAGGGTTCAAACATGATGTCTGAGCCCCACCTACAGTCTGCCGGAGGTGGTTGGAAGGAAGAGCCTTTATCCTTACAATTCTTACTGAAATTCAAATTTTTAGGTTTTGCAAAAAAATGGTGGACCTGAAGGAAATTTGACAGGAGCATGTCTCAGCTGTATTTAAATTTGTCTCAGCCAATCCCCTTTTGAATGTTCAGAGTGTAAGCTTCAGGAGGGCAGCGCGTCTTAGTGTGACTTTTCTGGTCAGTTCAGGTGCTTTAAGGAGACAATTAGAGATCAATCTGGAAAACTTCATTTGAATTTTTAATACATAAGAAAACAATAAGAAATAGTTAAAAATATATATTTATAATATATATATGTGTGTGTGTGTGTGTGTGTGTGTGTGTGTATATATATATATTTTATTTATTTATTTTTTTTTGAGATGGAGTCTCGCTCTGTTGCCCAGGCTGGAGTGCAGTGGCTCAATCTTGGCTCACTGCCACCTCTGCCTCCCAGGTTCAAGTGATTCTCCTACCTCAGCCTCCTGAGTAGCTGGGATTACAAGCATGTGCCACCACACTGGCTAATTTTTCTAATTTTAGTAGAGATGGAGTTTCACCATGTTGGACAGGATGGTCTTGAACTCCTGACTTAGTGATCCACCCGCCTTCGCCTCCCAAAGTTCTGGGATTACAGGCATGAGCCATCGTGCCTGGCAATTATATTTAATATTTAATAATAAGGAAATAATTGCTGTAACTTTACTTTAAATTGTGGAATTCTGAAACTGGAAGGGAACTGGAAATGACTTGTTGAATCAAATCATTTTAAACTTTTATTTTGCCAGTGGAAAAAATAAGCCCCCAAAAGAGCAGGGGACCTGCTGATGTCCCACAGTAATTCAGAGCTGGAGATGAGGTTGAAGGCTTTGTGTCTTATCTCCAGGGAAAATTTGTAGACAGCGTAGCTCTTTATGTGACGAGCATTCTCACCCCAGTCATCCCCCAATTCTCTACTCATTTGAGAACATAAATTGGATCTTGCCAGTCTCTACTCATTTTTCAGCACATCGAGCATAAGATCCAGACTCTTTCCCAGGCCTCTCTCATCTGGCTCCTCTCCTCCTCCTTTATCATTACTCTTCTTCGTAGCTTATCCTACTCCAGCCATGCTGTCTTCCTATTATTCCTAAAAAATAGAAATGCATTTCTTCCTAGGGCCTTTGTACCTGCACTTGCCATCGCTTTTGCTCAGAATGTTCTTTTTGCCAAGCTTTTGCCCAGCTTGTTCTCCATCATTGTTATGTTTTGGCTGAAATGTCTTCTCTTAGTAGGTTCATTCTCCCCAGTCACTGTCTTTTTATTTTGCTTTATTTTGGGCCATCTAAGGTTATCTTATTAGTGTATTTGTTGTTCGTCTCCTCCATGGGCATACACCTCCATGAAGGCAGGTATTTTCACCTTAGGCCCTCGAATATACTGGACAGCATCTGGCACGTAGTAGATGCTCAACGAATGTTTGTTGTGTGAGCAAATGGTTGGTTGATTGGATTGAACTGAGTTCAGTATGTAAATATTTAGGGCCTCTTTGCATTCTATTTTACTTATGTATAAAATGATACATAATGATGATATAAATGATGTCACAGTGTACAAGGCTGTTGTGGGATCAAGCAATCAAATGAGATCATGCTTGTCTTTTCCAAATGGTGAGGGAATAGATGCATGTTTGTGGTTGTTACGGAATGATCCTGTGCTCCTGAGGCAACAGAAAGGCCAGGCCATCTCTGGTAATCCTACTCTTGCTGTCTTCCCTTTGCAGAGACACGCCCTGCCAGGCAGGGGAGGAAGAGTGGACCACTGCCCCAGTTCCCCAGACCATCATGGACCTCTTCCAGAATGGGAACTGGACAATGCAGAACCCTTCACCTGCATGCCAGTGTAGCAGCGACAAAATCAAGAAGATGCTGCCTGTGTGTCCCCCAGGGGCAGGGGGGCTGCCTCCTCCACAAGTGAGTCACTTTCAGGGGGTGATTGGGCAGAAGGGGTGCAGGATGGGCTGGTAGCTTCCGCTTGGAAGCAGGAATGAGTGAGATATCATGTTGGGAGGGTCTGTTTCAGTCTTTTTTGTTTTTTGTTTTTTTTTCTGAGGCGGAGTCTTGCTCTGTCGCCCAGGCTGGAGTGCTGTGGCATGATCTTGCCTCACTGCAACCTCCACCTCCCAGGTTCAAGCGATTCTCCTGCCTCAGCCTCCTGAGTAGCTGGGATTACAGGCACGCACCACCATGTCTGGCTAATTTTTGTGTTTTTAGTAGAGATAGGGTTTCGCCGTGTTGGCTAGGCTGGTCTGGAATTCCTGACCTCAGGTGATCCACCCGCCTCGGCCTCCCAAAGTGCTGGGATTACAGGCGTGAGCCACTACGCCCAGCCCTGTTTCAGTCTTTAACTCGCTTCTTGTCATAAGAAAAAGCATGTGAGTTTTGAGGGGAGAAGGTTTGGACCACACTGTGCCCATGCCTGTCCCACAGCAGTAAAGTCACAGGACAGACTGTGGCAGGCCTGGCTTCCAATCTTGGCTCTGCAACAAATGAGCTGGTAGCCTTTGACAGGCCTGGGCCTGTTTCTTCACCTCTGAATTAGGGAGGCTGGACCAGAAAACTCCTGTGGATCTTGTCAACTCTGGTATTCTTAGAGACTCTGTTTGGGAAGGAGTCCTGAGCCATTTTTTTTTTCTTGAGAATTTCAGGAAGAGGAGTGCTTATGATAGCTCTCTGCTGCTTTTATCAGCAACCAAATTGCAGGATGAGGACAAGCAATTCTAAATGAGTACAGGAACTAAAAGAAGGCTTGGTTACCACTCTTGAAAATAATAGCTAGTCCAGGTGCGGGGTGGCTCACACCTGTAATCTCAGTATTTTGGGATGCCGAGGTGGACTGATCACCTAAGGTCAGGAGTTCGAAACCAGCTTGGCCAATGTGGCGAAACCCTGTCTCTACTAAAAATTCAAAAATTAGCCAGGCATGGTGGCACATGCCTGTAATCCCAGTTACTTGGGAGGCTGAAGCAGGAGAATTGCTTGAACCTGGGAGGTGGAGGTCGCAGGGAGCCAAAATTGCGCCACTGTACTCCAGCCTGAGCAACACAGCAAAACTCCATATCAAAAAATAAAATGAATAAAATAACAGCTAATCTAGTCATCAGTATAACTCCAGTGAACAGAAGATTTATTAGGCATAGTGAATGATGGTGCTTCCTAAAAATCTCTTGACTACAAAGAATCTCATTTCAATGTTTATTGTTTAGATGTTCAGAATAAATTCTTGGGAAAGACCTTGGCTTGGTGTAAGTGAATTACCAGTGCCGAGGGCAGGGTGAACCAAGTCTCAGTGCTGGTTGACTGAGGGCAGTGTCTGGGACCTGTAGTCAGGTTTCCGGTCACACTGTGGACATGGTCACTGTTGTCCTTGATTTGTTTTCTGTTTCAATTCTTGTCTATAAAGACCCGTATGCTTGGTTTTCATGTGATGACAGAGAAAACAAAACACTGCAGATATCCTTCAGGACCTGACAGGAAGAAACATTTCGGATTATCTGGTGAAGACGTATGTGCAGATCATAGCCAAAAGGTGACTTTTTACTAAACTTGGCCCCTGCCGTATTATTACTAATTAGAGGAATTAAAGACCTACAAATAACAGACTGAAACAGTGGGGGAAATGCCAGATTATGGCCTGATTCTGTCTATTGGAAGTTTAGGATATTATCCCAAACTAGAAAAGATGACGAGAGGGACTGTGAACATTCAGTTGTCAGCTTCAAGGCTGAGGCAGCCTGGTCTAGAATGAAAATAGAAATGGATTCAACGTCAAATTTTGCCACTTAGTAGCAACTTGACCAGGTAACTGGTTATCCTTTTAAAGCCTTAGTTTATCTAAATTGTGATATTAATGTTGCTCTTATAAGTTTGTCATGAGGACTAAATTAAATGGTGTACATAGAGTGCCTTGGGTACTCTCTGATGGGGGACTCCATGATAATTTGTGGTCTCATGGAGGGAGCTCTGGGAAGGTTTAGGAGCCTGCCTTGGCTCTGCAGCCTTGGGAGAGCCTTCTAGCTTCCCAGGACATGGCAGCCTAGTGTTGAATGCTTGGCTCAGCAAATGTTTGTTCTCGTTTCCTTCCCATCAACTTGGTCAGTTGGGGTCTTTCAGTTAGGAGTATCTCAGTGACTTTAAATGGCATGGGCATGCTGGAGTGATAGTGACCATGAGTTTCTAAGAAAGAAGCATAATTTCTCCATATGTCATCCACAATTGAAATATTATTGTTAATTGAAAAAGCTTCTAGGCCAGGCACGGTGGCTCATGCCTGTAATCCCAGCACTTTAGGAGGCCAAGGCGGGTGGATCACTTGAGGTCAGGAGTTTGAGACCAGCCTGGCCAACATGGGGAAACCCTGTCTCTACTAAAAATACAAAATAAGCTGGGCGTGGTGGTGCGTGCCTGTAATCCCAGCTACTTGGGAGGCTGAGGCAGGAGAATTGCTTGAATCTGGGAGGCGGAGGTTGCAGTGAGCTGAGTTCATGCCATTGCATTCCAGCCTGGGCAACAAGAGCGAAACCATCTCCCAAAAGAAAAAAAAAAGAAAGAAAAAGCTTCTAGTTTGGTTACATCTTGGTCTATAAGGTGGTTTGTAAATTGGTTTAACCCAAGGCCTGGTTCTCATATAAGTAATAGGGTATTTATGATGGAGAGAAGGCTGGAAGAGGCCTGAACACAGGCTTCTTTTCTCTAGCACAACCCTACAAGGCCAGCTGATTCTAGGGTTATTTCTGTCCGTTCCTTATATCCTCAGGTGGATATTTACTCCTTTTGCATCATTAGGAATAGGCTCAGTGCTTTCTTTGAACTGATTTTTTGTTTCTTTGTCTCTGCAGCTTAAAGAACAAGATCTGGGTGAATGAGTTTAGGTAAGTTGCTGTCTTTCTGGCACGTTTAGCTCAGGGGGAGGATGGTGTTGTAGGTGTCTTGGATTGAAGAAAGCCTTGGGGATTGTTTGTCACTCACACACTTGTGGGTGCCATCTCACTGTGAGGAGGACAGAAGCCCTGTGAACATGTGGAGCACACAGGGGCACAGACAGATTTAGATTAGGCCTGCTTTATAGAGTTTCTGCCTAGAGCATCATGGCTCAGTGCCCAGCAGCCCCTCCAGAGGCCTCTGAAATATTTGATATACTGATTTCCTTGAGGAGAATCAGAAATCTCCTGCAGGTGTCTAGGGATTTCAAGTAAGTAGTGTTGTGAGGGGAATACCTACTTGTACTTTCCCCCCAAACCAGATTCCCGAGGCTTCTTAAGGACTCAAGGACAATTTCTAGGCATTTAGCACGGGACTAAAAAGGTCTTAGAGGAAATAAGAAGCGCCAAAACCATCTCTTTGCACTGTATTTCAACCCATTTGTCCTTCTGGGTTTTGAAGGAACAGGTGGGACTGGGGACAGAAGAGTTCTTGAAGCCAGTTTGTCCATCATGGAAAATGAGATAGGTGATGTGGCTACGTCAGGGGGCCCGAAGGCTCCTTGTTACTGATTTCCGTCTTTTCTCTCTGCCTTTTCCCCAAGGGCCAGGACCCCTGGATCTCTGGGCAGAGCAGACGCAGGCCCCTATAATAGCCCTCATGCTAGAAAGGAGCCGGAGCCTGTGTATAAGGCCAGCGCAGCCTACTCTGGACAGTGCAGGGTTCCCACTCTCCCAACTCCCCATCTGCTTGCCTCCAGACCCACATTCACACACGAGCCACTGGGTTGGAGGAGCATCTGTGAGATGAAACACCATTCTTTCCTCAATGTCTCAGCTATCTAACTGTGTGTGTAATCAGGCCAGGTCCTCCCTGCTGGGCAGAAACCATGGGAGTTAAGAGATTGCCAACATTTATTAGAGGAAGCTGACGTGTAACTTCTCTGAGGCAAAATTTAGCCCTCCTTTGAACAGGAATTTGACTCAGTGAACCTTGTACACACTCGCACTGAGTCTGCTGCTGATGATACTGTGCACCCCACTGTCTGGGTTTTAATGTCAGGCTGTTCTTTTAGGTATGGCGGCTTTTCCCTGGGTGTCAGTAATACTCAAGCACTTCCTCCGAGTCAAGAAGTTAATGATGCCATCAAACAAATGAAGAAACACCTAAAGCTGGCCAAGGTAAAATATCTATCGTAAGATGTATCAGAAAAATGGGCATGTAGCTGCTGGGATATAGGAGTAGTTGGCAGGTTAAACGGATCACCTGGCAGCTCATTGTTCTGAATATGTTGGCATACAGAGCCGTCTTTGGCATTTAGCGATTTGAGCCAGACAAAACTGAATTACTTAGTTGTACGTTTAAAAGTGTAGGTCAAAAACAAATCCAGAGGCCAGGAGCTGTGGCTCATGCCTGTAATCCTAGCACTTTGGGAGGCCGAAGCGGGTGGATCACTTGAGGTCAGGAGTTCGAGACCAGCCTGGCCTACATGACAAAACCCCGTATCTACTAAAAATACAAAAAAATTAGCTGGGCTTGGTGGCACACACCTGTAATCCCAGCTACTTGGGAGGCTGAGGCAGGAGAATTGCTTGAACCCTGTAGGAAGAGGTTGTAGTGAGCCAAGATCGCACCGTTGCACTCCAGCCTGGGCAACAAGAGCAAAACTCCATCTCAAAAAACAAATTAAATCCAGAGATTTAAAAGCTCTCAGAGGCTGGGCGCGGTGGCTTACACCTGTTATCCCAGCATTTTGGGATGCCGAGGCGGGCAAAGCACAAGGTCAGGAGTTTGAGACCAGCCTGGCCAACATAGTGAAACCCTGTCTCTGCTAAAAACATAGAAAAATTAGCCGGGCATGGTGGCGTGCGCCTGTAATCCCAGCTACTCGGGAGGCTGAGGTGAGAGAATTACTTGAACCCGGGAGGCGGAGGTTGCAGTGAGCCCAGATTGCACCACTGCACTCCAGCCTGGGCGACAGAGCAAGACTCCATCTCAAAAAAAGCTCTCAGAACAACCAGGTTTACAAATTTGGTCAGTTGGTAAATAAACTGGGTTTCAAACATACTTTGCTGAAACAATCACTGACTAAATAGGAAATGAATCTTTTTTTTTTTTAAGCTGGCAAGCTGGTCTGTAGGACCTGATAAGTACTCACTTCATTTCTCTGTGTCTCAGGTTTCCCATTTTTAGGTGAGAATTAAGGGGCTCTGATAAAACAGACCCTAGGATTGTGGACAGCAGTGATAGTCCTAGAGTCCACAAGTCTGCTTTTGAGTGATGGGCCCATGTATCTGGCACATCTGCAGGCAGAGCGTGGTTCTGGCTCTTCAGATGATGCCGGTGGAGCACTTTGAGGAGTCCTCACCCCACCGTGATAACCAGACATTAAAATCTTGGGGCTTTGCATCCCAGGATTTCTCTGTGATTCCTTCTAGACTTGTGGCATCATGGCAGCATCACTGCTGTAGATTTCTAGTCACTTGGTTCTCAGGAGCCGTTTATTTAATGGCTTCACATTTAATTTCAGTGAACAAGGTAGTGGCATTGCTCTTCACAGGGCCGTCCTGTTGTCCACAGGTTCCAGATTGACTGTTGCCCCTTATCTATGTGAACAGTCACAACTGAGGCAGGTTTCTGTTGTTTACAGGACAGTTCTGCAGATCGATTTCTCAACAGCTTGGGAAGATTTATGACAGGACTGGACACCAAAAATAATGTCAAGGTAAACCGCTGTCTTTGTTCTAGTAGCTTTTTGATGAACAATAATCCTTATGTTTCCTGGAGTACTTTCAACTCATGGTAAAGTTGGCAGGGGCATTCACAACAGAAAAGAGCAAACTATTAACTTTACCAGTGAGGCAGTACGGTGTAGTGTAGTGATTCAGAGAATTTGCTTTGCCACCAGACATACCAGGTAACCTTGACTAAGTTACTTAACCTATCTAAACCTCAGTTCCCTCATCTGTGAAATGGAGACAGTAATCATAGCTATTTCCAAACTGTTGTGAGAATTCAATGAGTTAAAGGTATAAGGTCCTCACCACAGCGCCTGCCCACATAGTCAGTGATCACTATGTCCTGAACACTGTAATTACTTCGCCATATTCTCTGATCATAGTGTTTTGCCTTGGTATGTGACTAGAATTTCTTTCTGAGGTTTATGGGCATGGTTGGTGGGTATGCACCTGCCTGCAGGAGCCCGGTTTGGGGGCATTACCTTGTACCTGGTATGTTTTCTTTCAGGTGTGGTTCAATAACAAGGGCTGGCATGCAATCAGCTCTTTCCTGAATGTCATCAACAATGCCATTCTCCGGGCCAACCTGCAAAAGGGAGAGAACCCTAGCCATTATGGAATTACTGCTTTCAATCATCCCCTGAATCTCACCAAGCAGCAGCTCTCAGAGGTGGCTCTGTAAGTGTGGCTGTGTCTGTATAGATGGAGTGGGGCAAGGGAGAGGGTTATGGAGAAGGGGAGAAAAATGTGAATCTCATTGTAGGGGAACAGCTGCAGAGACCGTTATATTATGATAAATCTGGATTGATCCAGGCTCTGGGCAGAAGTGATAAGTTTACGAATTGGCTGGTTGGGCTTCTTGAACTGCAGAAGAGAAAATGACACTGATATGTAAAAATCGTAACATTTAGTGAATTCATATAAAGTGAGTTCAAAAATTGTTAATTAAATTATAATTTAATTATAAGTGTTTAATCAGTTTGATTTGTTTAAAAACCACTGTTTTAAATTTGGTGGAATATGTTTTTATTAGCTTGTATCTTTAATTCCTAAATTAAGCTGTGTGTGTGTGTGTGTGTGTGTGTGTGTGTGTGTGTGTGTGAAGTTTAAAGCCAGGATGAGCTAGTTTAAAGTATGCAGCCTTTGGAGTCATACAGATCTGGGTTTGAATCTGGTCTCTAAACTTTATAGATGTATGATATTAAATGAGGCAGTTCATGTAAATTGCCAAGCCCAGCACTCAGCACAGAGTTGATATTTCACACACATTAGATACCTTTCCTGTATGTGGAGCATGGCAGTTCCTGTTTCTGCTTTACTCCTACAGGATACTAATATAGGACACTAGGATCTTTATACCAAGACCCCATGTAATGGGCTTATGAGACCATTCTTCTTATAAAAATCTGACAGAATTTTTGTATGTGTTAGATCAATAGGCTGCATACTGTTATTTTCAAGTTGATTTACAGCCAGAAATATTAATTTATTTGAGTAGTTACAGAGTAATATTTCTGCTCTCATTTAGTTTTCAAGCCCCACTAGTCCTTTGTGTGTGAAAATTTACAACTTACTGCTCTTACAAGGTCATGAACAGTGGACCAAAGTGAATGCCATTAACCACTCTGACTTCCTTCATTAGTTTTATTGTGACAGTGGACTCTTTTGACCTCAGTAATACCAGTTTGGCATTTACATTGTCATATTTTTAGACTTAAAAATGATCATCTTAACCCTGAATAAAATGTGTCTGGTGAACAGATGTTTTTCCTTGGGCTGTGCCTCAGATATCTCTGTGTGTGTGTACGTGTGTGTTTGTCTGTGTGTCCATGTCCTCACTGATTGAGCCCTAACTGCATCAAAGACCCCTCAGATTTTCACACGCTTTTTCTCTCCAGGATGACCACATCAGTGGATGTCCTTGTGTCCATCTGTGTCATCTTTGCAATGTCCTTCGTCCCAGCCAGCTTTGTCGTATTCCTGATCCAGGAGCGGGTCAGCAAAGCAAAACACCTGCAGTTCATCAGTGGAGTGAAGCCTGTCATCTACTGGCTCTCTAATTTTGTCTGGGATATGGTAAGGACACAGGCCTGCTGTATCTTTCTGATGTCTGTCAGGGCCATGGATTGATATGGATAAGAAAGAAAGAGCTCTGGCTATCATCAGGAAATGTTCCAGCTACTCTAAAGATGTATGAAAAAGAAATAGCCAGAGGCAGGTGATCACTTTCATGACACCAAACACAGCATTGGGTACCAGAGTTCATGTCACACCAGAGGGAAAATTCTGTACACAATGATGAAAATTAATACCACTACCACTTAAGTTCCTATGTGACAACTTTCCCAAGAATCAGAGAGATACAAGTCAAAACTCCAAGTCAATGCCTCTAACTTCTCTGATGGGTTTTAACCTCCAGAGTCAGAATGTTCTTTGCCTTACTAGGAAAGCCATCTGTCATTTGAAAACTCTGTACATTTTATCAGCAGCTTATCCATCCATTGCAAATATGTTTTTGTGCCAGCCACAATATATTGCTTCTATTTGGACCAATATGGGGGATTTGAAGGAATTCTGAAGTTCTAATTATATTTCAACTCTACTTTACAATATCTCCCTGAAATATATCTCCCTGTAACTTCTATTAATTATAAGCTACACAGAGCAAATCTAATTCTTCTCCCACCGAACAAGTCCCTGGATATTTAAAAATAACTCTCATACTCTCATTTAACCTGAGTATTACCCAGATAAGATGATATATGAGAATACACCTTGTAACCTCCGAAGCACTGTACAAATGTGAGCAATGATGGTGGAGATGATGATGAGATCTTTGCTGTTTATACCAAGCCCCTTAGACTGTGTCACTCTTCTGATCCGGTTGTCCTTGTATGGCCATGCTGTATATTGTGAATGTCCGTTTTCAAAAGCAAAGCCAAGAATTAACCTTGTGTTCAGGCTGTGGTCTGAATGGTTATGGGTCCAGAGGGAGTTGATCTTTAGCTCACACTTCTATTACTGCAGCACAAAGATTTTGCATTTTGGAAGGAGCACCGTCTTACTGGCAACTTAGTGGTAAACCAAAACCTCCATTTCACACAAATGATTGTGAAATTCGGGTCTCCTTCATTCTATACAAATTCATTTGATTTTTTTGAAACTAAACTTTATATTTATCCATATTAAATTACATGGGTTTTATTTTTGTTTTATCTTGATTCAGTAATTACTCCTTTCAGTAAACACAGACTGAGTGCTGTGTGTCTGACTTATGCCAGGCATAGGTGATTCAGAGATGAAAGGTCAAGTCCCTGAACCCATCTCTTGTCTTCCTGGGTATTATCTGTCCCTCCCTGCTTTAGAGCTCCTGAAATTTGCTAGAAGCATGTCTTCATCTAAGTTGTTGATAAACACATCAAGTAGGATTGGACTGAGGCAGAGCCCTGTAGTCTGAAGCTGCAGTTCTTCTAGCGGCTGACAAGCCCCACTATCACTTCCCTGCTGGTGCTTTGCTCTGCCAGCTGTGAATTCTCATAATTGTCCTATCGTCAAGTCTTTATTTCTGCATTTTACTGCTTGATACACTGTCAGGACAGACTTTAAAATTATTCTCAGTGCGATGAAACAATTCTGACATTCATGTTATGAGCAGTTACCTCATAAATAGATTACATGTGAGATTGAACTTGGGCAGACTATAATATAGCATTAATGACGAAACAGACACAGTCATCTTCGGGAAGAAGAATAGAGGCTTATTTGCTGCCTGTGAAATTAAAATTACTCTGACTGGGAATCCATCGTTCAGTAAGTTTACTGAGTGTGACACCTTGGCTTGACTGTTGGAAAGACAGAAAGGGCATGTAGTTTATAAAATCAGCCAAGGGGAAAATGCTTGTCAAAATGTATTGTCGGGTATTTTGATTAATAGTTTATGTGGCTTCATTAATTCAGAGTTACTCTCCAATATGTTTATCTGCCCTTTCTTGTCTGATAATGGTGAAAACTTGTGTGATGCATTGTATATTTGATTTAGGGGTGAACTGGATGTCTTTGTTTTCACTTTTAGTGCAATTACGTTGTCCCTGCCACACTGGTCATTATCATCTTCATCTGCTTCCAGCAGAAGTCCTATGTGTCCTCCACCAATCTGCCTGTGCTAGCCCTTCTACTTTTGCTGTATGGGTAAGTCACCTCTGAGTGAGGGAGCTGCACAGTGGATAAGGCATTTGGTGCCCAGTGTCAGAAGGAGGGCAGGGACTCTCAGTAGACACTTATCTTTTTGTGTCTCAACAGGTGGTCAATCACACCTCTCATGTACCCAGCCTCCTTTGTGTTCAAGATCCCCAGCACAGCCTATGTGGTGCTCACCAGCGTGAACCTCTTCATTGGCATTAATGGCAGCGTGGCCACCTTTGTGCTGGAGCTGTTCACCGACAATGTGAGTCATGCAGAGAGAACACTCCTGCTGGGATGAGCATCTCTGGGAGCCAGAGGACAGTGTTTAATTGTGATCTTATTCCACTTGTCAGTGGTATTGACACTGCTGACTGCCTTGTCCTGTCTTCAGAGTCTGTCTTCCCTGAGAAGGCAAAGCACCTTTCTTTCTTGCTGTGCCTTACATTTTGCTGGTCAAGCCTTTCAGTTTCTTTTGACAGTTTTTTTTACTTCTTTCTTTTTTCAATGTTGCTCTTACCAAGAGTAGCTCCTCTGCCTTCCACTTTACACATGAGAGCTGGGCGACGCCATTCAGTCCTAAGGCTTTTACCATCACCTCTCTTGGTGTTTTTATTGTCATCTCTAAGATCAATGCCTTTAGCCTTGATCATAACCTTGAACTCTAATCTCAAATTCTCACTTGCCTAGTGGATTGCTCCATTTAGATAGTATATAGATACCCCAACCTGGATATGTCCTAGTTTTCTTTCCCCTTGGAACTTAATGCTTTTCTTGCCATCCCTGTCACACTCAGTGGCACTACCATCCACTCGGTTGCCCAAGCTGGCTCTTAGAGTTATCCTAGATGCTTGCTTTGCTGTTGCAGATTTCCCACATTCAACTGGTTATGTTGTCAGTTCTTCCAGGTATGGACCTCTAAAATAAGGCTTCCTCTCCATTCCGGTTGTCATTGCCTTTGTCCAAACACAGCACACAAGGCCTTTTACAGTTGCACAACTCTTCCTGTCCATACCCACCACACCCTTTCCCAGCTGTAAGCTTCAGATGAGTTGCCTCCAACCACCATGCTCCTGTAGGCCTGGCTTGAAATGCCCTTCTTCTGTCACAGGGTCTGGTAGTATATCCCTTGCCCTTCAAGATTTAGCTAAAATGTGAAGCTTTCCTTACCTGCTGGGAGGTGTTCTCTCTTTTCTCTGTGCTCTCAGAGTCCTTAGTCCATGCCTCCAGTACAACGTACATCCACTTACATGGTAATTTCCTGTTTACATACTTTTCCTACTCGGAGTGGAGTCTGTTTCTTAATAATTTTGCCTCTCCCATGCCCTAGCACAGTGCATCCAGCGTATAGCCCCTTATTCAGTTGGTAGATATTTGGCCACTGTTGCCTTGTGGGATCATAAGTTCTGATGTATTTGAGAAGAATTTCTAAAATTCTGACAAAATCCTGAAACTCAAATATTGACCCAGACATGAGCAATTTGCTTTTCAAATGCTAAGGGATTTTTAATGGATTTGCTTTAATTAAATCTAGCCTGTTTCTAAGCTTTATTCATTATTTCTCCATACTCAGAGCATTTCTCCAGATTTTCTAAAGAATAGAATTTTATTGCTACATATCATCAGCTATGCCTGCTGCTATTTAATTGGTATCTGAATTAAAAGGTCTGGTTTGTCCCTAGAGAATCAAATTTTTTCTTCACTCCCATATTTCAGAACTTGATACATTTTTAGGATAAACCATGAATGACACCCGTTTCTTCTCCCTCACCCTCCCTTCCCTCCCATTTTTTTTTTTTTTTTTTAGAAGCTGAATAATATCAATGATATCCTGAAGTCCGTGTTCTTGATCTTCCCACATTTTTGCCTGGGACGAGGGCTCATCGACATGGTGAAAAACCAGGCAATGGCTGATGCCCTGGAAAGGTTTGGTGAGTGAAGCAGTGGCTGTAGGATGCTTTAATGGAGATGGCACTCTGCATAGGCCTTGGTACCCTGAACTTTGTTTTGGAAAGAAGCAGGTGACTAAGCACAGGATGTTCCCCCACCCCCATGCCCAGTGACAGGGCTCATGCCAACACAGCTGGTTGTGGCATGGGTTTTGTGACACAACCATTTGTCTGTGTCTCTGATAGCATTGAGAAAAGTGAAAGGGCAGTTTTGAAGGTAAGGAAAATAGTGGCATTTGCTTGGATCCACTGGCTCATGCCACTGTCTGGGTTGGTTAGAAGCACTGGAAAAGTCAAACCATAACTTTGAGAATTAGGTGATCAGGGAATCAGAAGGAAAGATGCAAACTTTGGCTCTTTTAGGCGAATCATGTGCCTGCAGATGAGGTCATTTATTATCTTTTACACAGTCTATAAAATTATAATGTATTACATCTTTTTCTACCTTTAGAATGGTTAAAAATATTTCTCCGGTAGCCATATGATTATTATTCATCCATTAGATAATATAGTCAAATGGGCCATGTTATTTACTGTTCATAGAAGAGGGGCTTTTTGCAACTTGGGCTACAAAGGAGATATGTAAGGAATTTAAGGAATGGTTACATGGAACTAGATTTAATTGAATCTAGTGGTTTAATTGATTCACTAGGATATATGCTACTGAAAGGGGAATCTGCTTAAAGTGCTTTCTGATATTTATTATTACTAAAACTTAGAATTTATTAAAAATACTGACTGTGAAAATTACTTGGGTCGTTTGCCTTTTTAAAAGGATTTTTGGCATGTCTCATTAAAAAAAGAAATACTAGATATCTTCAGTGAAGTTACAAATCGAATACACATTGGCTCTGAAATTCTGATTGATACTGGGTCATAAAAAGTTTTCCCAAATCAGACTTGGAAAGTGATCACTCTCTTGTTACTCTTTTTTCCTTGTCATGGGTGATAGCCATTTGTGTTTATTGGAAGATCGGTGAATTTTAAGGAACATAGGCCCAAATTTGAGGAAGGGCCATGGTTTTTGATCCCTCCATTCTGACCGGATCTCTGCATTGTGTCTACTAGGGGAGAATCGCTTTGTGTCACCATTATCTTGGGACTTGGTGGGACGAAACCTCTTCGCCATGGCCGTGGAAGGGGTGGTGTTCTTCCTCATTACTGTTCTGATCCAGTACAGATTCTTCATCAGGCCCAGGTGAGCTTTTTCTTAGAACCCGTGGAGCACCTGGTTGAGGGTCACAGAGGAGGCGCACAGGGAAACACTCACCAATGGGGGTTGCATTGAACTGAACTCAAAATATGTGATAAAACTGATTTTCCTGATGTGGGCATCCCGCAGCCCCCTCCCTGCCCATCCTGGAGACTGTGGCAAGTAGGTTTTATAATACTACGTTAGAGACTGAATCTTTGTCCTGAAAAATAGTTTGAAAGGTTCATTTTTCTTGTTTTTTCCCCCAAGACCTGTAAATGCAAAGCTATCTCCTCTGAATGATGAAGATGAAGATGTGAGGCGGGAAAGACAGAGAATTCTTGATGGTGGAGGCCAGAATGACATCTTAGAAATCAAGGAGTTGACGAAGGTGAGAGAGTACAGGTTACAATAGCTCATCTTCAGTTTTTTTCAGCTTTATGTGCTGTAACCCAGCAGTTTGCTGACTTGCTTAATAAAAGGGCATGTGTTCCCAAAATGTACATCTATACCAAGGTTCTGTCAATTTTATTTTAAAAACACCATGGAGACTTCTTAAAGAATTCTTACTGAGAATTCTTTTGTGATATGAATTCCCATTCTCGAATACATTGGTTTTATATGCTTACATTTATGTGTTAGTTATTAAAACATACTAATATTGTATATCTAGTCAAAACTGAGGTAGAGAGAATAAATGGTTGATTTTGAGTTTGAGTTTCATAGTCCAAAAAGCTGATATATTGCCTGTGTTCAAGAGGGTCTATATCAGCCCTCTAGATGCCAGCATCTCCAAATTTTACTTTTTTGGAATCTGTACAGTATTTGCAATATTTTTATTACAAATTTCTACTCTGTGGAATTTAATTTTTAAAATACCTGCAATACATATATATGTTGAATAGATGAAAAATTATGTAGATAATAATGAATGATACGGTTCTAAAAAGACAGGTTAAAAAGTAAGTTCACTTTTATTTTGAGCTTCAGAATCATTCAGAAGCCAGTCGCCACAAACGCAGACCAAGGCTCTTGGCACATCAAATATGCCTATGGCTTAGGGTTATTGACAAGTCTTATGTTGCAGTGTATGTGGTTTATAGTCCTGCCTTCCACAGTTGCTTGGGAGAGCTGTGAGTCACTGAGGCTTATGAATGTTTACATTTTGTTTGTTGCAGATATATAGAAGGAAGCGGAAGCCTGCTGTTGACAGGATTTGCGTGGGCATTCCTCCTGGTGAGGTAAAGACACTTTGTCTATATTGCGTTTGTCCCTATTAGTTCAGACTATCTCTACCCAATCAAGCAACGATGCTCGTTAAGAGGTAAAAGTGGATTTTAAAGGCTTCTGTATTTATGCCAGGATGGAGCAATTAGTCATCGAGAAGAGAGGGACCCTGTATGTCAAGAGAATGATTTCAGAGAATCCAATACAATTTAAGAAAAAGCATGGGGCTGGGCGCAGTGATTCACTCCTGTAATCCCAGCACTTTGGGAGGCCGAGGTGGGCGGATCACGAGGTCAGGAGATTGAGACCATCCTGGCCAACATGGTGAAACCCCATCTCTACTATAAATACAAAAATTAGCTGGGCATAGTAGTGCATTCCTGTAGTCCCAGCTACTCGGGAGGCTGAGGCAGGAGAATTGCTTGAACCTAGGAGGGGGAGGTTGCCCAGATTGCGCTGCTGCACTCCAGCCTGGTGACAGAGTGAGACTCATGTCAACAACAAAAACAGAAAAAGCACGCACATCTAAAACATGCTTTTGTGATCCATTTGGGATGGTGATGACATTCAAATAGTTTTTTAAAAATAGATTTTCTCCTTTCTGGTTTCCGTTTGTGTTCTTTTATGCCCTTTTGCCAGAGTAGGTGGTGCAATTTGGCTAGCTGGCTTTCATTACTGTTTTTCACACATTAACTTTGGCCTCAACTTGACAACTCAAATAATATTTATAAATACAGCCACACTTAAAATGGTCCCATTATGAAATACATATTTAAATATCTATACGATGTGTTAAAACCAAGAAAATATTTGATTCTTCTCTGATATTTAAGAATTGAAGGTTTGAGGTAGTTACGTGTTAGGGGCATTTATATTCATGTTTTTAGAGTTTGCTTATACAACTTAATCTTTCCTTTTCAGTGCTTTGGGCTCCTGGGAGTTAATGGGGCTGGAAAATCATCAACTTTCAAGATGTTAACAGGAGATACCACTGTTACCAGAGGAGATGCTTTCCTTAACAAAAATAGGTGAGAAAAGAAGTGGCTTGTATTTTGCTGCAAAGACTTTGTTTTTAATTTATTTAAAGAAATAGGTTGTTATTTTTGATTACAGTGGTATTTTTAGAGTTCATAAAAATGTTGAAATATAGTAAAGGGTAAAGAAGCACATAAAATCATCCATGATTTCAATATCTAGAGATAATCACAATTTACATTTCCTTTCAGTCTCATTCTCTTCTTTTAACAGCTTTATTCAGGTATAATTTACATACAATATAATTTGCTTGTTTTTTAAGAGTATAATTTAGTGATTTTTGGTAAATTGAGAGTTTTGCAACCATCACCACAATCCAGTTTTAGAACTTTTCCATCACCCCACATCTGTCTTATATACACATATAAATGTGCCATACAATTGAGATCATACTGTATGTAGAATTTAAAATTAGTTTTTATTGTTAATGAGTGTATTATGAATATTTCCCAGTGGGTTACATTTCCTAAGATGTGGAATTTTACATTGCTACATAAAATCCCCCTATGTACATGTACCTATAATTTATTTAATAAATTCCTTATAAATGTTGGACACATTAGTTTCCATTTTTCACTATGTAAATATGTCCCTGTATACATCTTTTATTATTTCCTCAGGAACAATTCCTACAAAGTAAATTGCCCTCTCTAAAGAGCATACAAATTGACTGAGCCACCGTTAGGCCATTTTCTGAGACTGCACAGGTCACAAAGCAATCTGATCTTTGGGAATACAGCTACATTTTATAGGCTTCTTAGATAATGTTACTCTAAGTACTTTAAATATGTGGGGCTTCTCTGGGCTTTTTTTTTTTTGAGACGGAGTTTCACTCTTACTGCCCAGGCTGGAGAGCAATGGCGCGACCTTGGCTCACTGCAACCTCCGCCTCCCAGGTTCAAGCGATTCTCCTGCCTCAGCCTCCTGAGTAGCTGAGATTACAGGTGCCCGCCACAATGCCTGCCTAATTTTTTTGTATTTTCAGTAGAGATGGGGTTTCACCATGTTGGCCAGACTGGTCTCGAGCTCCTGACCTCAGGTGATCCACCTGCCTCAGCCTCCCAAAGTTCTGGGATTACAGGCATGAGCCACTGCGCCCGGCTTCTCTGGACTTATTATGTGGAGAGATAGTACAAGGCAGTGGCTTTCAGAGTTTTTTGACCATGACCGTTGTGGGAAATACATTTTATATCTCAACCTAGTATGTACACACAGACATGTAGACACATGTATAACCTAAAGTTTCATAAAGCAGTACCTACTGTTACTAATTGTAGTGCACTCTGCTATTTCTTATTCTACCTTATACTGCGTCATTAAAAAAGTGCTGGTCATGACCCACTAAATTTATTTCCCAAACCACTAATGAACAATGACTCACAATTTGAACACACTGGACAGGGGGATAGCCAATAAAATTGAAAAGAGCAAGGAAATTAATGTATTCATGATCTCCTCTCCTGTCTCTTACATTTTTGCAGTAGCAATGTAAAGGAATCCTAAGAGAACAGACATTCTGGGAATAGCAGGCCTAGCGCTGCACAACTGCTTTCCTAGGCTTGCTCCTAGTACCAAGCTCCTGACGCATATAGCAGTGGCAGTAATAACCAGCCCATAGTAAGGTTTGTCACAGGGACTGGTTGTAAGAACTGATTTGGTTGGTATAGCTGTGAGGGCCTGGCACGGTGTCCACGTGTGCCTCAATCCTAATTCTGAAAAAGGCTGACCCTGGGGGTGCTAATTAGATACACAGAGAGGAATGAATGCTGCCAGAAGGCCAAGTTCATGGCAATGCCGCTGTGGCTGAGGTGCAGTCATCAGTCTGGAACGTGAACACTGAACTTCTCTCACATGTGATTCTTCACTTGACTGGCTTCATAGAACCCCAAAGCCACCCCACCACCACATAAATTGTGTCTCTAGGTTCTGTGTTGCTCACACTCAAAATTTCTGGGCCTTCTCATTTGGTGCATGTGAATGGTGCATATGAGTGAAGTCTAGGATGGGGCCTTAGCGTTAAAGCCCTGGGGTAGTGTGACTGAGATTGTTGGTAAAGAATGTGCAGTGGTTGGCATGACCTCAGAAATTCTGAAATGGGACTGCACCTGCAGACTGAAGTGTTCAGAGAGCCAGGGAGGTGCAAGGACTGGGGAGGGTAGAGGCAGGAACCCTGCCTGCCAGGAAGAGCTAGCATCCTGGGGGCAGAAAGGCTGTGCTTTCAAGTAGCAGCAGATGTATTGGTATCTTTGTAATGGAGAAGCATACTTTACAGGAACATTAGGCCAGATTGTCTAACCAGAGTATCTCTACCTGCTTAAAATCTAAGTAGTTTTCTTGTCCTTTGCAGTATCTTATCAAACATCCATGAAGTACATCAGAACATGGGCTACTGCCCTCAGTTTGATGCCATCACAGAGCTGTTGACTGGGAGAGAACACGTGGAGTTCTTTGCCCTTTTGAGAGGAGTCCCAGAGAAAGAAGTTGGCAAGGTACTGTGGGCACCTGAAAGCCAGCCTGTCTCCTTTGGCATCCTGACAATATATACCTTATGGCTTTTCCACACGCATTGACTTCAGGCTGTTTTTCCTCATGAATGCAGCAGCACAAAATGCTGGTTCTTTGTATCTGCTTTCAGGGTGGAAACCTGTAACGGTGGTGGGGCAGGGCTGGGTGGGCAGAGAGGGAGTGCTGCTCCCACCACACGAGTCCCTTCTCCCTGCTTTGGCTCCTCACCAGTTGTCAGGTTATGATTATAGAATCTAGTCCTACTCAGTGAAAGAACTTTCATACATGTATGTGTAGGACAGCATGATAAAATTCCCAAGCCAGACCAAAGTCAAGGTGCTTTTTATCACTGTAGGTTGGTGAGTGGGCGATTCGGAAACTGGGCCTCGTGAAGTATGGAGAAAAATATGCTGGTAACTATAGTGGAGGCAACAAACGCAAGCTCTCTACAGCCATGGCTTTGATCGGCGGGCCTCCTGTGGTGTTTCTGGTGAGTATAACTGTGGATGGAAAACTGTTGTTCTGGCCTGAGTGGAAAACATGACTGTTCAAAAGTCCTATATGTCCAGGGCTGTTGTATGATTGGCTTGTCTTCCCCCAGGGACAGCAGAGCAACCTTGGAAAAGCAGAGGGAAGCTTCTCCCTTGGCACACACTGGGGTGGCTGTACCATGCCTGCAGATGCTCCCAAATAGAGGCACTCCAAGCACTTTGTTTCTTAGCGTGATTGAGGCTGGATATGTGATTTGATCTTTCTCTGGAACATTCTTTCTAATCATCTTTGTGTTCATTCCCTGAAAATGAAGAGTGTGGACACAGCTTTAAAATCCCCAAGGTAGCAACTAGGTCATAGTTCCTTACACACGGATAGATGAAAAACAGATCAGACTGGGAAGTGGCCCTTGACCTTTTTTCTTCTGTAGATAAGAGCATTGATGTTATTACGGGAAGAAGCCTTTGAGGCTTTTATGTATTCCACCTCGGTCTGGAATTTGTTTCTGTAAGGCTAACAGTTGCAATATACTAGGGTAATCTGAGTGAGCTGGAATTAAAAAAAAAAAGGAATTTCACCCCAATCTTATACTGACTTCAATAGAGGTTTCAGACAAAAAGTTGTTTTGTATATACTTATCAGTCATGAAAAGATAATTACAACTAAATGGCCTTTTTCCTTCCCTATTTATTTGGAGAAATTTAATTACATAAAAAAGTACTCAGAATATTTGAGTTTCCTGCATCAATAAGACATTTATAATAATGACCTTGTTTACAAATGAATTTGAAAGTTACTCTAATTCTTTGATTCATCAAGAAATAACTAGAATGGCAAGTTAAAATTTAAGCTGTTTCAAAGATGCTTCTGCATTTAAAAACAAATTTATCTTTGATTTTTTTTCCCCCCAGCAAATAAGACTTATTTTATTCTAATTACAGGATGAACCCACCACAGGCATGGATCCCAAAGCCCGGCGGTTCTTGTGGAATTGTGCCCTAAGTGTTGTCAAGGAGGGGAGATCAGTAGTGCTTACATCTCATAGGTCCGTAGTAAAGTCTTGGGTTCCTCACTGTGGGATGTTTTAACTTTCCAAGTAGAATATGCGATCATTTTGTAAAAATTAGAAAATACAGAAAAGCAAAGAGTAAAACAATTATTACCTGAAATTATATATGCATATTCTTACAAAAATGCAAGCCCAGTATAAATACTGCTCTTTTTCACTTAATATATTGTAAACATTATTCCAAGTCAGTGCATTTAGGTGTCATTTCTTATAGCTGGATAGTATTCCATTAGGATATACTCTTATTTAACTATTCCCCCTTTTGTAGACATTTGGATTATTTCCAACTTGTTCACAATTGTAAACACCACTACACTGAACAGCATCATCCCTATATCCACATGTACTTGTAACAGAATACAATTCCCTAGGAAGCTGGAATGCTGGAAGTCATGGTGATGTTCTCATGGTTACAGAGAATCTCTCTAAAACTAAAACCTCTTTCTGTTTTACCGCAGTATGGAAGAATGTGAAGCTCTTTGCACTAGGATGGCAATCATGGTCAATGGAAGGTTCAGGTGCCTTGGCAGTGTCCAGCATCTAAAAAATAGGTAATAAAGATAATTTCTTTGGGATAGTGCCTAGTGAGAAGGCTTGATATTTATTCTTTTGTGAGTATATAAATGGTGCCTCTAACATAAAGGGAAATAAAACTGAGCAAAACAGTATAGTGGAAAGAATGAGGGCTTTGAAGTCCGAACTGCATTCAAATTCTGTCTTTACCATTTACTGGTTCTGTGACTCTTGGGCAAGTGACTTAACTACTGTAAGAGTTAGTTTCCCTGGAAGATCTACCTCCTAGCTTTGTGCTATAGATGAAATGAAAAAAATTTACATGTGCCAGTACTGGTGAGAGCGCAAGCTTTGGAGTCAAACACAAATGGGTTTGCATCCTGGCCCTACCAATTATGAGCTCTGAGCCATGGGCAAGTGACTAACTCCCTGGGCCTCAGTTTCTCTGTAACATCTGTCAGACTTCATGGGTCCAGGTGAGGATTAAAGGAGATCATGTATTTACAGCACATGGCATGGTGCTTCACATAAAATAAGTATTTAGTAAATGATAACTGGTTCCTTCTCTCAGAAACTTATTTCTGGGCCTGCCAGGGGCCGCCCTTTTTCATGGCACAAGTTGGGTTCCCAGGGTTCAGTATTCTTTTAAATAGTTTTCTGGAGATCCTCCATTTGGGTATTTTTTCCTGCTTTCAGGTTTGGAGATGGTTATACAATAGTTGTACGAATAGCAGGGTCCAACCCGGACCTGAAGCCTGTCCAGGATTTCTTTGGACTTGCATTTCCTGGAAGTGTTCTAAAAGAGAAACACCGGAACATGCTACAATACCAGCTTCCATCTTCATTATCTTCTCTGGCCAGGATATTCAGCATCCTCTCCCAGAGCAAAAAGCGACTCCACATAGAAGACTACTCTGTTTCTCAGACAACACTTGACCAAGTAAGCTTTGAGTGTCAAAACAGATTTACTTCTCAGGGTGTGGATTCCTGCCCCGACACTCCCGCCCATAGGTCCAAGAGCAGTTTGTATCTTGAATTGGTGCTTGAATTCCTGATCTACTATTCCTAGCTATGCTTTTTACTAAACCTCTCTGAACCTGAAAAGGGAGATGATGCCTATGTACTCTATAGGATTATTGTGAGAATTTACTGTAATAATAACCATAAAAACTACCATTTAGTGAGCACCTACCATGGGCCAGGCATTTTACTTGGTGCCTAATCCTATTTAAATTAGATAAAAAAGTACCAAATAGGTCCTGACACTTAAGAAGTACTCAGTAAATATTTTCTTCCCTCTTCCCTTTAATCAAGACCGTATGTGCCAAAGTAAATGGATGACTGAGCAGTTGGTGATGTAGGGGTGGGGGGCGATATAGAAAGTCAGTTTTTGGCCGGGCGTGGTGGCTCATGCCTGTAATCCCAGCACTTTGGGAGGCTGAGGAGCAGGCAGATCATGAGGTCAGGAGATCCAGATAATCCTGGCCAACAGGGTGAAACCCCGTCTCTACTAAAAATACAAAAATTAGCTGGGCATGGTGGTGCGCACTTGTAGTCCCAGCTACTTGCGAGGCTGAGGCAGGAGAATTGCTCGAACCCAGGAGGTGGAGGTTACAGTGAGCCAAGGTCTCGCCACTGCACTCCAGCCTGGGGACAGAGCAAGACCCCATTTCAAGGGGGGAAAAAAAGTCTATTTTTAAGTTGTTATTGCTTTTTTCAAGTATTCTTCCCTCCTTCACACACAGTTTTCTAGTTAATCCATTTATGTAATTCTGTATGCTCCTACTTGACCTAATTTCAACATCTGGAAAAATAGAACTAGAATAAAGAATGAGCAAGTTGAGTGGTATTTATAAAGGTCCATCTTAATCTTTTAACAGGTATTTGTGAACTTTGCCAAGGACCAAAGTGATGATGACCACTTAAAAGACCTCTCATTACACAAAAACCAGACAGTAGTGGACGTTGCAGTTCTCACATCTTTTCTACAGGATGAGAAAGTGAAAGAAAGCTATGTATGAAGAATCCTGTTCATACGGGGTGGCTGAAAGTAAAGAGGAACTAGACTTTCCTTTGCACCATGTGAAGTGTTGTGGAGAAAAGAGCCAGAAGTTGATGTGGGAAGAAGTAAACTGGATACTGTACTGATACTATTCAATGCAATGCAATTCAATGCAATGAAAACAAAATTCCATTACAGGGGCAGTGCCTTTGTAGCCTATGTCTTGTATGGCTCTCAAGTGAAAGACTTGAATTTAGTTTTTTACCTATACCTATGTGAAACTCTATTATGGAACCCAATGGACATATGGGTTTGAACTCACACTTTTTTTTTTTTTTTTGTTCCTGTGTATTCTCATTGGGGTTGCAACAATAATTCATCAAGTAATCATGGCCAGCGATTATTGATCAAAATCAAAAGGTAATGCACATCCTCATTCACTAAGCCATGCCATGCCCAGGAGACTGGTTTCCCGGTGACACATCCATTGCTGGCAATGAGTGTGCCAGAGTTATTAGTGCCAAGTTTTTCAGAAAGTTTGAAGCACCATGGTGTGTCATGCTCACTTTTGTGAAAGCTGCTCTGCTCAGAGTCTATCAACATTGAATATCAGTTGACAGAATGGTGCCATGCGTGGCTAACATCCTGCTTTGATTCCCTCTGATAAGCTGTTCTGGTGGCAGTAACATGCAACAAAAATGTGGGTGTCTCCAGGCACGGGAAACTTGGTTCCATTGTTATATTGTCCTATGCTTCGAGCCATGGGTCTACAGGGTCATCCTTATGAGACTCTTAAATATACTTAGATCCTGGTAAGAGGCAAAGAATCAACAGCCAAACTGCTGGGGCTGCAAGCTGCTGAAGCCAGGGCATGGGATTAAAGAGATTGTGCGTTCAAACCTAGGGAAGCCTGTGCCCATTTGTCCTGACTGTCTGCTAACATGGTACACTGCATCTCAAGATGTTTATCTGACACAAGTGTATTATTTCTGGCTTTTTGAATTAATCTAGAAAATGAAAAGATGGAGTTGTATTTTGACAAAAATGTTTGTACTTTTTAATGTTATTTGGAATTTTAAGTTCTATCAGTGACTTCTGAATCCTTAGAATGGCCTCTTTGTAGAACCCTGTGGTATAGAGGAGTATGGCCACTGCCCCACTATTTTTATTTTCTTATGTAAGTTTGCATATCAGTCATGACTAGTGCCTAGAAAGCAATGTGATGGTCAGGATCTCATGACATTATATTTGAGTTTCTTTCAGATCATTTAGGATACTCTTAATCTCACTTCATCAATCAAATATTTTTTGAGTGTATGCTGTAGCTGAAAGAGTATGTACGTACGTATAAGACTAGAGAGATATTAAGTCTCAGTACACTTCCTGTGCCATGTTATTCAGCTCACTGGTTTACAAATATAGGTTGTCTTGTGGTTGTAGGAGCCCACTGTAACAATACTGGGCAGCCTTTTTTTTTTTTTTTTTAATTGCAACAATGCAAAAGCCAAGAAAGTATAAGGGTCACAAGTCTAAACAATGAATTCTTCAACAGGGAAAACAGCTAGCTTGAAAACTTGCTGAAAAACACAACTTGTGTTTATGGCATTTAGTACCTTCAAATAATTGGCTTTGCAGATATTGGATACCCCATTAAATCTGACAGTCTCAAATTTTTCATCTCTTCAATCACTAGTCAAGAAAAATATAAAAACAACAAATACTTCCATATGGAGCATTTTTCAGAGTTTTCTAACCCAGTCTTATTTTTCTAGTCAGTAAACATTTGTAAAAATACTGTTTCACTAATACTTACTGTTAACTGTCTTGAGAGAAAAGAAAAATATGAGAGAACTATTGTTTGGGGAAGTTCAAGTGATCTTTCAATATCATTACTAACTTCTTCCACTTTTTCCAGAATTTGAATATTAACGCTAAAGGTGTAAGACTTCAGATTTCAAATTAATCTTTCTATATTTTTTAAATTTACAGAATATTATATAACCCACTGCTGAAAAAGAAAAAAATGATTGTTTTAGAAGTTAAAGTCAATATTGATTTTAAATATAAGTAATGAAGGCATATTTCCAATAACTAGTGATATGGCATCGTTGCATTTTACAGTATCTTCAAAAATACAGAATTTATAGAATAATTTCTCCTCATTTAATATTTTTCAAAATCAAAGTTATGGTTTCCTCATTTTACTAAAATCGTATTCTAATTCTTCATTATAGTAAATCTATGAGCAACTCCTTACTTCGGTTCCTCTGATTTCAAGGCCATATTTTAAAAAATCAAAAGGCACTGTGAACTATTTTGAAGAAAACACAACATTTTAATACAGATTGAAAGGACCTCTTCTGAAGCTAGAAACAATCTATAGTTATACATCTTCATTAATACTGTGTTACCTTTTAAAATAGTAATTTTTTACATTTTCCTGTGTAAACCTAATTGTGGTAGAAATTTTTACCAACTCTATACTCAATCAAGCAAAATTTCTGTATATTCCCTGTGGAATGTACCTATGTGAGTTTCAGAAATTCTCAAAATACGTGTTCAAAAATTTCTGCTTTTGCATCTTTGGGACACCTCAGAAAACTTATTAACAACTGTGAATATGAGAAATACAGAAGAAAATAATAAGCCCTCTATACATAAATGCCCAGCACAATTCATTGTTAAAAAACAACCAAACCTCACACTACTGTATTTCATTATCTGTACTGAAAGCAAATGCTTTGTGACTATTAAATGTTGCACATCATTCATTCACTGTATAGTAATCATTGACTAAAGCCATTTGTCTGTGTTTTCTTCTTGTGGTTGTATATATCAGGTAAAATATTTTCCAAAGAGCCATGTGTCATGTAATACTGAACCACTTTGATATTGAGACATTAATTTGTACCCTTGTTATTATCTACTAGTAATAATGTAATACTGTAGAAATATTGCTCTAATTCTTTTCAAAATTGTTGCATCCCCCTTAGAATGTTTCTATTTCCATAAGGATTTAGGTATGCTATTATCCCTTCTTATACCCTAAGATGAAGCTGTTTTTGTGCTCTTTGTTCATCATTGGCCCTCATTCCAAGCACTTTACGCTGTCTGTAATGGGATCTATTTTTGCACTGGAATATCTGAGAATTGCAAAACTAGACAAAAGTTTCACAACAGATTTCTAAGTTAAATCATTTTCATTAAAAGGAAAAAAGAAAAAAAATTTTGTATGTCAATAACTTTATATGAAGTATTAAAATGCATATTTCTATGTTGTAATATAATGAGTCACAAAATAAAGCTGTGACAGTTCTGTTGGTCTACAGAAATTTACTTTTGTGCATTTGTGGCACCACCTACTGTTGAAGGGTTATAAAGCCATTAGAAAAGTAGAGGGGAAGTGATTTGGATCAAAAGGAAAAACTTTAGAAAAGATTCAAATGTTCCCTTAATCATAAAAGAGAACTGAGGGGACTACTTGAAAATAAAAGGTTGTTTTGTATTTTCATGTTGGTTAAGATACTGAGTAACTGGTATTAAGTGTTAGAGGTTTTTAGATAAATATTCTGCTTAATGATTATGAAGCTGCACTGAGATTTCTGAAAATGCTCTGTAGCTGAGCTTATTTAATAAATGTTCACTTGGTATAGGGGAAGCTACAAAGGCAGCCTTCAGTGTCCTTTTGTTTATTCAACCAAAAATATAAGGACACAATGTAGCAGTTATACTGGGAAGGTGCTGGGGGTGGTGGCAATGGTGAGCAGGAAGGCGAAGTAGATATGGAAACAGAAATGATACTAATATCGGTGATTCCTTCCTTTTTTCCTGTAATAAGTGCTGTGCAGACAACATATGAGCAGTGCTGATAAATGTAAATGTATTTTTCATAGCTCATTAAGAATCAGTTTCAGAAAGAGATGTCTGCTTATTTTGCTACTTGAAGAATCCCTGTCAAACAGTCCTTTTGAGGAAGTACAAGAGGCTGTCTCTATTTGTGACCTCAGGAATGGCTGTGACAGTGTCGTGAGCAGTCCTTTTCCTGTGGCACAGATCTGAACTTTGTGTGCAGAAAAATCTTGGCTTCAAGTGAGCCAAGATGCCCCCTGAGCATCAGCATCACAACTTCATCCTCCT
Organism: Homo sapiens; assembly: GCF_000001405.40. Classification (NCBI taxonomy): domain Eukaryota; kingdom Metazoa; phylum Chordata; class Mammalia; order Primates; family Hominidae; genus Homo; species Homo sapiens. The sequence continues at coordinate 104,780,196 of NC_000009.12, read as the reverse complement.
ATCTTGAAGTTCATGTTATAGTGACTTTAATGAAATCATAGAACACTGTTTCTTCGTGAACAATGACGAGGGAGAGGAAAAAACTTTATTGAAAAATAAAAAGGCAGGTAATTTAGATGAAAATATGTTACCCATGAGGTTTTGTTTTTGCTTTTTGTTTTTGTTTTTGAGAAACAGAATCTCGCTCTGTCGTCCAGGCTGGAGTGCAGCGGCATGATCTTGGCTCACTGCAACCTCCGCCTCCCGGGTTCAAGCGATTCTCCTCAGCTTCCCAAGTAGCTGGTACTACAGGCATGCGCCACCACAACCAGCTAATTTTTGTATTTTTAGTAGAGATGGGGTTTCACTATACGTTGGCCAGGCTGGTCTCAAACTCCTGACCTAAGGTGATCCTTCTGCCTTGGGCTCCCAAAGTGCTGGGATTACAGGCATGAGCCACCTTGCCTGGCCCTACCCATGAGCCTTGACTAAAACATTCTTCTATCTGTAGAAAAGCCCAAAAGAACTTTTCCAGATTCAAAAAACTTGGCACTTTGTAATGGTAATGTTTACATTAAGTAAAAAAAAAAAAAAAACCCACTTAGCTTCAGTTTTCAAGTGTTTACTGTGTTGTCATGCACTTCATTTAATTCTCAACACCTGCCCTATGAGGTAAAAAGTACCATTTTACATATGAGTAAATTACAGCTCAGTGGATAAGAAACTCGTCCAAAGGTACAGGTTCAGTCAAGTGGCAGAGGGTTCTTTTTGTTGAAGTTAGGTATCAGTTAAAATTGACCTTGTAAAATCACATCAGCATCAATATACATTAATTTAACAAATATTTATTGAACTTTACTGTATGCCAGATACTTCTCTAGGTACTAGGGGGTACAATGTAGAAGAAAATAGAATTCCTGCTCTAATGAATTTATATTTCAGTGGTGAAAGATGATGTGTGGACAAACACATCTAATGTATTTTGACAGCAATGGGTGCTAAGAAGAAAATAAGACATGGTAATTGGATAACAATGGAGAGAAGTCAGAGATGGCCTTTTCTGAGGAGTGACATGCTCAGAATCGAATAAAAAGAGCAGGAGCAGCCTTTCAAGGTGGGTGCGAAGGATATTCCCGGAAGAAAGAATAAGTGTTGCAAAAGCCCCAGTGGGAAAAAGCTTGGCAAGCTGAGGTGGTAAAAGAGCTATCTGTACTAATGTCTCTTGTACTGAGTTAGCAAGGACAAGAGTGGCAGGGGGTGGAACTGGAGAGATAGCAGGGACCACATCTCACAGGATCTCGCCAGCCTTTTTAAGGTATTTGGATTTTATTGTTAGTGCAACAAGGAGCCACTGGAGAGTTTTAAACAGTAGTGGTGTGACCTACTGTTTCAGAAAGAACACTGGCTACTATGGGAAGAAAGGACAGTAGGAAGACTAATAGATAATGGTGGATTGAACTAAGATGGTAGCAACAGATAGGGAGCTATGGTAATGTTCAGTATCCACTTTGGAGATAGATCCAGCAGGACTTGCTGACAGACTGCATGTAAGGGCTGAGGGAAAGAGAGCTAGCAAGGTGACTTCTAGTTTGTGACCTGAACTAGGTAGATGGTTGTGTTAAAAATGCAGTGGGTATTTCAGTCTGAAGCTCAGGGGCAATGATGGAAAATAAGATAAATGTGTGCAAGTTGGCTGGGCGTGGTGGTGCACGCCTATAATCACAGCACTTTGGGAGGCCGAGACGGGTGGATCACTTGAGGTCAGGCGTTTGCGACCAGCCTAACATGGTGAAACCCCATCTCTAATAAATACAAAAAAATTAGCTGGGCATGGTGGTGCATGCCTGTAATCCAAGCTACTTGGGAGGCTGAGACAAGAGAATCGCTTGCACCTGGGAGGCGGAGGTTTCAGTGAGCTGAGATCGCACCATTGCACTCCAGCCTGGGCAACAAGAGCGAAACTCCATCTAAAAAAAAAAGTGTGCAAGTTATTGGTACGTATATATTTAAGCCTCGGGACTGAATGAGATTACCTAGAGAGAATGAAGATAGGGAACATTCTTGAGCCTGAGATCCTATAACATTTAGAAGAGAAGCTAGCCAGGGAAATTGAGAGGGACTGGCCAGTGAGAGAGAGTAAAATCTGAAGAGTATAATGCCATATGTTGAAGCTCAGAGAATTATTGTTTCAGGAAGGCAGAAGTTGTCAATTATGTCCAACATTGCTGAGAAGATGAGTAAGGAATGTAAATGAGTAAAGGCAGGAATGGCTATTGAATTTGTTAAGACAGAGGTCCTTGGTGACCTTCCTAAGAGTCATTTCAGCATGACAAGGATGCAGACCTAACTGGAATAGATTTTCAGGGAAGACTGAGAGGCAAGGAAGGGGAGACTGCAAATATATGCAAATCTATATTTTTGCTTTGAAGGGAAACAGAAAACAGGACAACAGCTGGTTTACAGAACTTTTATTTGGATTCTTTCCTTGTCTGTTAATAATATAGGCTGCACCTGGGCATCATCGTGCCCTTCCTTTTTGATTCTGCTGTTTTGCTTTTAATCCTACAGGCATTTCTTCTGGCAGGAGCCTTGTACACACTCTGGGTGGTTCATGACCACCACGGACTTGCCCTTTCAAGGCAGAAGCCTGTGATTCAAAAACTTCCATTCCTTCCAATCGACTATTATAAAACTCATTTTGTCTAGTGCCCATACTCCTTTACCTTAGGATCCTGGGCCAACTGTCACTAAAGAAAACAAACCATTTCCTCCTCCTGGGGGAATGTGCTTCTTTCAAGAAGGTGCTTAGAGAATAGACATTCTAGGTGACAGCAGTTATGAAAGAGGTGTCTCTAATGAACCTAACACTTCTTCCAACATACTCCAGGTTCACCCTCCTTTGAAGACAGAAAGTACTACAACTTCAGTTGCCACCCTAGTCAGGTTCATAGGATTTACTCAGTAGGTTAAGAGATGGTGCTGAGAATGAAGTCCAGAGTTTGAGTCTACAAGTGGCATTTGCTTCTCCTTTGGGACTTCTGTGGCAGGGTGTGGAACCAAATCAGATTGGTTGCATATCTGTTTCTCTTCCTGAAAATACAATTCAAATACCTTCATAGTCTGTGACAGCAACTTATAACCAACAGACAATGGTATTATTTTTATTTATTGATGGCACTCCCCCATAGCCAGAACTTCTACTGAGTCATTCATCGTGTATTCCAGGAATACTTTCCAAATGGAGTAGTGAGGCACTTCCAATAACAGTTATGTAATCTGTTAACAGTGGCTCAAAATGACATGTGAAGGAATGATGTACTTCTTTTTTCAGACTCACAGATCTCATATGTTAATTCAGTCAACAAGTACTTAGGGCTTATCACATGCCAGGCACAGGTAATATGACAATAATGAAAACAAAAACCCTTGCTGTCATAGAATTCGGTTTCTAGTGGGAAGAGACATACATTAACAAATCATATATAAGTAAAACATTAATTATGGTGATAACAGAAAAAGAAAGCAGGGGAGAGGGATAGTGTCTTAGTTCAGGTTGCTGTAACAAGAGTACCATAGACAGGGTGGCTTAAACAACAAACATTTCTTTCTCACAGATCTAGTGGCTGGGAAGTCTAAGACCAGGGTGCCAGCATGAAGAAGTTCTGGTGAAGGCTTACATTCTGGTTTCCTCACAGTGAGGGCTCTTCACGCCCTTATAAATGCACTAATTCTATTACCCACATGACCTCATCTAAAACTAACTCACAAAGGCCAAACCTCCTATGTTGAGATTAAGGCTTCAACATAGGAATTTTGGGGGGACAAAAACATTCAGTCTCTAGCAGATAGGGGCCACTGTGGGAGGGGATTACAATCTTAAATAGGGTTGTCAGGGAAGGCTTCATGAGGGCAAAGACCTGAGGAGGCATGGAAATGATCCACGCAGATGCATGTCTGGGGAAGAGCATTCCAGGCAGAGGCAGTGGGAATGGACCCTCAGGTAAGAGCATGTTTAGCAAGTTCAGAGAAAAGCCTCTTAGGTCAGGTCTGGAGCGAGAGTGGAAAATGTAACAGGACAGATCATGTAAAGACTTGTAGACCACAGTTAGAGGCTTGGACAATAACTCTGAGGATGACATGAAGGTATTGGGAGGGGGTGTTGAGCAGAGGAGTGATATGATCTGGTTTATATTTTAGATTATTCTGACTGCTATGTTGAAAATAGGGTTGAGAGCAGAGGGGAAGGGCAGCACACCAGTTAAGACCACTTCCCAAAAATCCAGATGATGATGGGCTTGAACCAGGAGAGTTGCTATAGGGATGTGAAGCAATCAAATTCTAGATATTTGGGACCTGCTGACAGGTACATAATGGTGTATGAGAGAAAAGGCAGTGTGAGAATGACTCTGAAGTCTGTGGCCTGAGCAAAACAGAAACCTGGAGTTGCCAATAGCTGAGATAAAGTTTCTGGTTAAAGATCAAGAGCTCAGTTTTGGACAAGAGGGGTGTGAGATTTCTAATAGACATTCAGGTGGAGGTGTGGGGAACACACCTGGATGTGATGAGCCTGGAATTCAAATTCACATGTGTGAATTTGAAAAAAGATTCAGAAAAGAGGTGTGGACTGGAGGAGCTATCCACACACAGATAGCATTTGAAGCCACAAGACTGGGGGTGATGACGCAGGGAGTAAGTATAAATAGAAAAGAGAAGTGGTCCAAGGACTCAGTCCTTACATCAGAGGTCAAAGAGACAAGATGGAGACTAGGAGATATGAAGGCTTGTGCAGTGAGTGTTTCGGAGAAACGAAGAAACTTCCCAGAAGAAAGGAGAGGTCAACTGCTAACAAGTCAAGTGAAATGAGAACTGGGAAATGAGTTGACAAGAGCAATTTGGCTGGCGTGATCAGAGAATGTTTAAGAGATAATGTGAGGGAAGAAAATGGAGGCAGGAAGTATGAACTACTCTTTTGAGTCATATTGTAAAGGAAAAAAATGGGGTGATTTTACTCTTTTTTTTTTTTAAAGATAGGAAAAAAAAGTATATTTATATGCTGAGGAGAAGAATCCAGTTGAAGGGGAATACTGTGGCTTCAGGAGACAGGAAAACTGCCTAAGCCACATCCTTCAGCAAGTGAGTGTTCAAGTGGAGGGTTTGTCTTTGCTTGGGGCACGGGCGGTTCATCCACAGTGAAAGGAGAGAAGGCAGGGCATGTGGGGTTGGCTGTAGAAAGCGGGCAGACGGGGTGGGAACTTATGAAGACTCTTCTGATTGTTATTTTCTCTGTTAAGTAAAAGGAAAGGTCATTGGCTAAGAATGAAGATGGACGCGCAGGTGCTGGGAGTCATCGAAGAGAATGAAAGAATGAATAAAATAGAGAAAAATACAATGCTATTATATAAACCTATACATTTAAATTACTTTCCTCTTCAAATTAGACCCCCTGGAAGGCAAATCTCTGTCATGTTAAGTTTTAGGAAAAGTCATAATCTACTTGGAGCTAAGTATGAAGAATAAGGTATATGATTTAAACCACATAATTCTATTTTTGCTTAAACCGGGGAAGCCTTTAAGGTAACGTAGAGTGTACCCATTAAAAAAGATAAAAATGTCAGCTTCCCCTTCCCTTTAAATATAGTAAGGCTCAAAGGTAATTGATGTTCATAACCCTAAGGTACTATAACAGTCTGAAGCAAAATATTAAATGTCTTCTGTAGTATTTTAGTTAACTTTTAATTTTATTGGTAATTTATGTGTAGTTAACCACATACTTGTGCCTCAACTATTTCACATAAATGTGAGATGTCTTAGGCCTCTTTGAACTCTGCATGGAAAAGAATGCTGAGGAGGTATGTCTGTTTAAGCTGCCACTGCCTGCCTCTCATAAATAATATCTCACATTGCATAATAGCCCAGATAAACTGCAGATCGCTTAGAGCCTGATAAATGAGAGGAAACTGTACAGTTTGTTTTCCAAATTGCCCTTGGACAGCTAATTCACAATTTACTATTTTATAGCTGTAAGATTTTAAAAATATAAAATAACATAGCTGTAAATACAGATTATCAGAAGATAGTCTGTAAAAATGTAAATATAATATAGCTGTAAATATACACTATCGGAAGTACCAAATCTAGTTTTAGTAGGTAGAGGCATCAAGTAAAATGGAAATGAAAGATGTTTCAAGGAAAACTCCAGGACATCTGTGGCAGTACTAAAGAAACCTTCCTTCTCAGGTTCCCAGCATGCTATTTTATTGATGTAACAACATTTTCAATAAAGTTGGTAAATTATCACTATATTACTGTCTTATAGCAACATAGCAAGAGCTTTAGAGATCATATAAGTATAAAATGTGAATTTAAAAAAACAATGAATATGCAGGATTTTTATTAGGGCAAGCGTTTCCATAACCATAAATATTTCTTTAAAACAAATAAATGTCCCAAGATCTCTGTTAGTGATCCAAACTAAGTAGAAATTAGTAAAATTAATTATAAATGAACAATTTCAGCATATAAACCAACAAGTCTTTTCTAGATTTTTAACACTGTGACCCAATTGCATTATTTTCCAAGTTAGAATGACTAATAATCAATGAATGTAAAAGCAATAATTAATACAGATGACATTGTACTTTTCCACAGTAAAGAAATAAACAATCTAATATTTTTATAAATCCCATTTTATATCACAAAATAACCTTTACTAAGCAAATTTTTTTAAAATCTCAGGAACTATAGACATGATGAAAAGATAGATATTTTATATAAATAATTCAAAAATACTGTCAGGCAAGGAAATGTAAAATCCTTATTTGAGTAAAAGAAAATGCTATAAAGCAATGAGTTATCAAAATACAGAAGAGGTATTCTAAAACAAATGAAAAACCAAGATGATGAAATAGTGACAACTACTTCTAATGTGTAACAGATACTGAAATGCCAAGGTGAAAGTGAACTGAATTATTTCTTAAAGCAGTGGAGAATATGTAACTTTCAAAAATGCAAGAAGCACAGCAAATTAACTAATTAACTTACCACCTCCTTCAAATAAAAGCGAGAACCTCTTGGGAGAATTTAAGCACCATTAGCAGACACATCTTAGAGCAGTTAATGAAATGTTTTGTATTTCAGTAGAAAACTATTTCAATGGTGAAAATGATGCAGGAATCAGAAGCATATTCTGCTGAGAAACTAGGTAGTTGACACTTTCCCGAACTGGAAAAACATTTCATAAGAAGGCATACAGTTATTGGTTGAATCACATTTGTTCTAAAAATAATTCGTGCTTAGTGAAACAGCTTACCAGCCGCCACAACTCTGGGATCCTCATGGGACTTATGTCTCCCAGCTGCACGACTATCTGCACTCTCATTCCACCAAAGAACATGAACTGCAGAAATAAACCACAAGTAGTTTCTGAAATATATGGCAATAGCAAATAAGAAATATTGAAAAAGTGAATCAGAAATGTTGTCTTATTCTTTAAATCAAAATCAAAAGGTAAAACTAAATATGTTAGTTATAAGATTTCAGAGGGATCAGAAATTTGGAAGATAAATTTATAAGTTAAACTGGAAACATAAGGCTGAAGAGAGAATGCAAAGAAACACAGCTTAAGGCACAATTAAGACTAGACCCGAGTTTAATGACTTCCTACTATGTTTTATTTTTTAAAAAAAGCAGATTATAAAAAATTGTTTACTGTAGAAAATTTAGGTGATACAAAGAAAAAATAAAAGTTAGTATAATCTTAACTGCCTAGATAAACCTTTATCAACATATGGTGTGTTTCCTTTAAAAAAAATTAGTAAACCAAATTAGGGTCTTAGTGTATATTATACTTAGTAACAGATTTTTTAAAATGCTGCAACAATGTGAGAATTTTCTATGTCAATGATATTAATTTTGAATGACAAAGACACCAAAAACAATCATGATAAAAACAAAAATTGACAAATGGTATCTAATTACACTTAAGAGCTTCTGCACAGCAAAAAAAAAAACAAAAAAAAAACTGTCAACAGAGTAAACAGACAACCTCCAGAATGGGAGAAAATTTTTGCAAACTACGCATCTGACAAAGGCCTAATATCCAGCCTCTATAAGGAACTTAAACAAGTTTATAAGAGAAAAAAAGAATCCCATTAAAAAGTAGGTAAAGGGCATGAATAGTCACTTTTCTAAAGAAGACATATATGAGACCAACAAACTTATGAGAAAATGCTCAATATCACTGATCATTAGAGAATGCAAATATAAACCACAATTAGATACCATCTCACACCAGTCAGAATGCCTGTTACTAAAAAGTCAAAAAATAACAGATGCTGGTGAGGTTGTGAAAAAAAGGGAACACTTACACCCTGTTGGTGGGAGTGTAAATTAGTTCAACCATTATGGAAAGCAGTATGGTGATTCCTCAAAGAGCTAAAAGCAGAACTGCCATTCGACCCAACAATCCCATTACTGGATATATACCCAGAGAAATATAAATCATTTTACCATAAAGACATGTGCACGTGAATGTTCACTGCAGCACTATTCACAATAGCAAAAACTTGGAATCTTTTCATGAAAACCTATATGCCCACCAACAACAGATTGGATAAAGAAAATGTGGTACATACACACCATGGAATACCATGCAGCCATAAAAAAGAACCAGATTATAACTTTTGTGGGAACATGGATGTAGCTAGAGGCTATTATCCTCAGCAAACCAACAGAGGAAAAGAAAACCAGATACCACATGTTCTCACTTATAAACGGGAGCTAAATGATGAGAATTTATGAACACAAAGAAGGAAACAACAGACACTGGGGTCTACTTGAGAATGGAAGATGGGAGGAGGGAGAGGATTAGAAAAGATAACAATTGGGTACTGGGCTTAATACCTGAGTGATTAAATAATCTGTACAACAAACCCCCATGACATGGGTTTACCTAAGTAACAAATCTTCACATGTACCCCGTGAACCTAAAATAAAAGTTAAAAAACAAACACCAGTTCAGCATTTGAAAAAGGCTCCATAAAGTATTAACATTCTAAAAAAATAAGATGTAAAATAAGATGCTTATAGATTTTTTCAATCCTATAAACAACAAACTCTAAAAATTTGGAGATAAAAATTAAAACAGGTACCAAAATGAAAAAGAGAGACGAACTGATCTAATACACATGGCAACTTCATAGAACAAATGGACAACTGTACCTCTGTTGAGTTCTCCATATTCTGTGTGGAAAACACCAACTACTTTTGTGTAGCCTAAATTGACATGGGCATTAATTGCTCTTTCAAATGCATCACCCCACAGAGCTGGCCCACCAGGTTTCATCTGAAAAACAGCTAGTTCATAGACTCCTAGAATAGGGAGAAAAATAATTATTTCACAGAAGACATTCAAACAATTTCTAACCAGGTTTTCCTGATTTCATTAGAAGGCTAACCAATGAAGTTAGAGGATAATCCATGTATACATACATATGCAGTCACATTTATTGATTCTCTGCATTATTTTTCTTTGCTTTTATGTTTAGAAAGTCTTTGTCCATGTTTAAGGGTCAGTTGTTAAAATTAATCATAAAGAAAATAAAGAAAAAGGACTGGAAGCTATATATAAACTACACTCTGAAATATTTTTAATCTATAAAATTTGTCAGGAAAACAGATACTGAGAATGTATAATGAAGCAGAATTTTCAAGCTGCCTGTCTACACTTTTTAAAAAAGAAATGCATAAGAGAAGTACTTTCTGATATCCTACATTTCCTTCTCCTTTTCAATTTTGAGAGGAAATAACTTTTTCCTTTGTATAATTTTCTCCGGTAGGATTCTATTTCTAGTTGACCCAAAGTCATGTCTGAGCCTTTAAGGAAAAAAAGAAAACCCTCAAGGAGATGGTTTTATTCTTCCTAAATATCCAGGTAAATGCTTAAAAACCATTCTACCTTCTGGCCAGAAGTATAAGATGGGTGGAGAGAAAGAAACTAGAGGACAAGGTAGATTGGACAAGAAAAAGGAAAGAAATACAAAGTTACTAAAGAATTATGAACAACATAGAGGAAGGGAACTATTAATAAGACTTGACACTGAGAAGTCAACTGTTTTACTTAGTGCTGAAAGTTAAGGGGAGTTTTAAGTACATTAGAATCCAAACAAGACTTTTCAAATCTCTTATAATCTAAAATAAAATACAAAGTTGAGTTTATGGGAGACATAAAATGAAATTTAAATTAGTTTATGCTTTTCGAATCTGACCTCTGTTTAAAATTAGATAGAGGTAATTATTTCCTTTAGTGAGCAAGAAGTGAAATCAGGAAGAAGACAAATCTTTTCAAACTGAGAAACAAGAAAGAGGAAGACACAAAAGTTAAACTACAATAATGTAGCTTAGCAGTGTAAGTTAATTCATTCCCCCAAAACAGTCAGTTTACAAGCAAAGATGTACTTAATGATTTAAGATTAGCTGACTTTGTGGAAAAAATACTTTTATATTTAAAAGTTTATACATTTTAAAACTGTGACAAAATTTCATGAACTACGACTCATCTACCTACACCTGTTTTCCTAGCTCCCAAGCCCCACTTTTTCACCTGTATTGACCATGTCAACTTTTGTTAGGCATCCGTTAGATTTCAATATGGAAAAATACTTCATTTTTTGTTTTAAGGATAAGCAATGTTTAAGGATAAGCTCAATGTTTTAAGGATAAGCAAAGAGCTCTAGAACTCTAATTCTCTTTTTTTTTTTTTTTTTTGAGACGGAGTCTCGCTCTGTCGCCCAGGCTGGAGTGCAGTGGCGAGATCTCGGCTCACTGGAAGCTCCGCCTTCTGGGTTCACGCCATTCCCCTGCCTCAGCCTCCCTAGTAGCTGGGACTACAGGCATGCACCACCACACCCAGCTAATTTTTGTATTTTTGGTAGAGATGGGGCTTCACTACGTTGACCAGGCGGATCTTGAATTCTTGACCTCAAGTGATTCGCCCGCCTCGGCCTTCCAAAGTGCTGAGATTATAGGCGTGAGCCACCGCGCCCAGTCTCTAATTCATTTTTATCTCCAGACTCATCATATATTATTATATAAAACAAAGAATTATATATTTTTTTCCTATAGAACTTTACTCTTTATAACTTTAGGTCTTTAGTATTTTACTCATTAAAACTCATAGTCTAAGAGGGAAGAACTCACCTTCTTTTGGAGGCTTTTCTAATTTGGACCATGGTATCAGGTAAGTAATTTCCGTCTCTTGTTTATCAATGCGAGCCAAATTTGGAATGATAGATTGTTCTTGCCATTCCTTACAGTTGGCTAAGGCTTTCCGAACTTCAGCTCGATGAGCAAAATTATCTATGGGAGGAAAATAGTTAAGAAAATGTTTTTTTATTTAAAATCGCCCATATTTTTACTTGAATTTTACTCAGTTCAGCAAACGTGCAAGGCCATATGGGAACCCCATGTTATTATGTCGCTGGAGATGCCAACATAAATATATGTGACAACTGCTCTCAAGTTACTCATGGTCTAAAAGGGGAGTTGAAATGTAAAAAACTAACTTAATTGACATAGAATGGGCTTTATAGGCTCTAAGACTTTCTTAGGAAGTTGTGTGAATTAGGTTCGTTATTCAATCTTTCTGTGCCTCAGTTTCTTATTCTGTGAAGAAAATAGTATAACATCTACCTCCAGTGTTGTTGTGAGGATTAAATGAATTAGTACATGAAAAGAGCTTAGAATGGTGTTTGGCACCTTAGTTAGTACTCAGTATATGTTAACGATTCTTATCAATGGAAGCATTTGATTTATAGAGAAAGACTATTTTTCCTTGGTGGTGGGTGATTAGGTCAAGGTACACTTTGAATCAAAGTTAACATAAATGAAATTAAGATGCACTTTTTAAGCCTCTTTTTTGAACAACAGCTCCCAATGAAATAGTGCTGATTCTTTTATTTCTTGTCAGTAATTCTTTTTCTCTACAACTTATTTCTCTTCTTTCTAAGTTACCCAAACAGGTATATACATTTACCAAGATATGGGCCTAGTATAGTCAGCCCTCCCTCTCCACAGGTTCTGCATCTGTGGATTCAACCAACTGCAGATTAAAAATATTTTTTAAAAATACAAGTGAAATAATATAGTATAACAACTACTTACATAGTATCTATATTGTATTAGGGATTAAAAATAATCTAGAGATGCTTTAAAGTATATGGAAGGATGTGTGTGGGTTTGATGGAAACAGTATGCTGTTTCATATAATGGACTTGAGCTGAATCTGGTATCTACAGGGGTTCCTGGTACCAACCTCCTGCAACCTCCTGCAAATACAGAGGGACAACTATAGTATATTTACTTTTAGGGCCTCCTAAGACTAATAGTAAATGAATTATATGATTTATGCTGAGGATAAGGAATAACACCTATCTTACAAGTGAATTGTAAAGACTTTACGAGCAGTTTAATGGGACACAATTAAACTTGTGGCTCACCTAACGCACATAAGTGGATTATATATGTGGTTTATCTAAAGCATATAAATGAATTATAAACACTTTATTAGCAGTTTTTTCAATGGGACATGTTTCAACTTGTGGTTTATCTAAAGCATAAATTATGTTTTAATAGGGTCTGTTTTATTATAACAGGGAAAAACTAAAGAGTTACGTCAAGCATAGAATGAACACTTTTCATATTAAATTACTTTATGACTATTAACTTTGGACACTGATCACTAAACAGTAAATGAAATTATTAAAAGTTCTTTAGGTATCCTCAAGTCCTGATGTGGACTGTTAAGAACAGACATGGAAGTAACAAACATTCTGGGGATTCTTGTTACTTGTTCTCTTTCCTCTACTAAACCAGGGGTAGGTCAGCTTCAATATGGGAAGGACTGTCTCTCATTCCTTTTCCTTACCTCCCTAGGGTAGTATGAAAGAATTCCTTGAAACTCTGGGGTACAGAAATGAAAAAAGAAGTGGTCTCTAAACATAACAGAATTATTAAATCTCAGAGTTGGGTGACGCTTAAAAGTTAACTATCATCCTTTAAAAACCTCCATTTTTATAAAGCTCCCAAATGGGTGAATTATTTCTGCAAAAATGCTGATATCCAGCCCTAGCTGTAACAATAATAAGAAAAAAAAAATTATCTTATCCTAATGACACTCCTTTACCCAAGAACTGCAATTAGGAGTCTCATAAATTTACAAAGCTTTCTCCCTTATTTAGCCAGTATTCCATCTTCGTCAATACCATATACATTAGTTACACATTTAAAACATTTTTATTAAATATACATGTCTTTTGGCAGGCCCAACGGTGATCTTAACCCACTTGAACATTTACAATTACTGCTTTAAATTTTTCATGAGCTATCTTTATAGCAAACGATTCTAACATTTTTCTGAGGATTAAAGTCTAATTCACAATTTTATGGTTTGATATATGAGACTGCATGTTTTCTCATTTATGATAACATAAGAGTTCAAGCAAGGGGTGGTTAGAGGTGTACCACTGGGAAGAAGATCTGCTAAATTTATTTTTTTGGTATTGCTTTTAAAAAGTCTTACTTAACCTGTATGTATCTATGGTAATATAGATCCAAGAACTAAGTCTTATGTTACATTTAACAGAATGAAAATCTATACTGAATACTAAAACTGGATGACTCTTTACCATACTTCCAAATATGAAACACTTTATTCGTTCTGCCTCCAAATTCTACACTCCAGAATCCAACCAATTCAGAGTAAGAGGTCCGAAGATGAATGTTTTTCTTAAGATTTTCCATGAACGCATTCATATTTGAAGGTTTAAGGTAATAAGTACGAAATTCATAGAACGTTCCATCGTATTGTCTAGGGCCCGTAGCAAAAGATGAACACACCTGAAGGAGGTAAGACAAATGTAAATATCTTGGGAAGGTACAATTACAGATTTGGTTACAACCAAATCTGAGTCTGGTACAAGGAACACACATAGACTCATTATCCATTGTTTACTTTTGTTGTCAATTCTCCATATACACTTGTTTACATAGAGATGTCAATAAAGATAACTACTCTTAATTCTGATGAATATATAGCAACTGTTTCCTAGCAGGGGTCTACCTCTAGCCATTTTTTCACGAGAATTTGCTCACAAGAAGGCTGTGGGATCATAATGATACTCCTTTACCGAAGAACTACATTTAAGACTTAGTCTCTTTAATTTACAAAGGGTTTTCCCCTGTTTAGCCAATATTCCATCTTACTCAATACCATATGTATTAGTTCCACACATTGAAAAAAATTTATTAAGTACACATGCCTTTTGGCAGGCCCAAAAATACGTTTACTAACAAAAAACTCTTGTTTTTAAAAGGTTCCTAAAAAAACAGGAAGGGCTATTCAGGTCAAAGTATTTCCTGAATCTACTGATGAAGACTACCGGTCAAAAACAGGACTGGAATGTAACTAATATAAAAGGAAGCTATAACTTATCCAATTGCATTGTACTATGGGTGTATACTGCATAAAGGCTGAAAAGGAAAAAAACTCAACAAATGAGAATTGTCTCCATCATTGTTTCTAATTACAGATGCAATATCAAGAAGTATGTACATTTAGTGCACTCAATTATACCAAGTTTATGGAACTATCCTTTAAGAACCACCCTTTGTAATAGTCATATGCCCAATGGGTAAATTTTCTGTCCTAATCTGGCCCTCTGAGCCTGAGTGAGCTTAATGTTCAGTAGCAAATGCCCTGTCAGAAATTATCCAGTCTGTCTGTATGTACGTACATGCAAATATTTATGTAAACACACGTGTATACACAGACCACTCCCGTGGCATTCTAGTTTACAAATCCATTCATTTAGGCATGGTTAGCATGTGACAATTTCCTGAGGCTCACTACCCAGAATAATCTATCGCAACAGTTTCAGTAGGCATCTTTCACTGACATATTTTTGGTTACAACATGCAAATGTCTATGTAGTTTGTGTGCATAACGTCTTAATTATAATTGTCTATCTTGAGTTCATTCATCTCCAGTATGAGTTATGCCCTTATTGCCCAAGTGTCTTAGTTTTCTTAGAAAACCCTTCTTCATACCAAAAAATACCTGCAACTATCCTTTCTTTTGATGGCCATTCTTTTTGGGTCAGTTTAATCAAATTCTGAAAATAAAAAACTGCTTAGTATCTACAGTTTAAAAATATTATTATCTCGGAAAATGGGCCAATGAGGTATTTCTAATAACTGCTTTTAAAGTTGATTTTCGGAGATTTGTATCTGGAGATGTTATCCTAAAAAAACGCAACAGCTGGCGCCACGGGGGTGTCCCGGGAGTTGTGGCATTTAGGCTAGAAACAGCTGGCATCAGGCTGGGCACAGTGGCTCATGCCTGCAATCCAGCACTTTGGGAGGCCAAGGTGGGCGGATCACGAGGTCAGGAGTTCGAGACCAGCCTGACCAACATGGTGAAACCCCCGACTCTACTAAATAGTAAACACAAAAAAAATTAGCCGGGCGTGGTGGCTGGCGCCTGTAATTCCACCTACTCCGGAGGATGAGGCAGGAGAATCGCTTGAACCCGGGAGGCGGAGGTTGCACTGAGCCGAGACTACGCCACTGCACTCCAGCCTGGGCGACAGAGCGAGACTCCGTCTCAAAAACAAAAACAAAAATCACAAAAACACTGGCATCCAGTTAGAAAACCCCTCTGACAGCGACTGCCAGCGAGACGACCCCGGCCTGTAGCCTCCTCCTTGCGCGCCAGACGGCTCCAGAGACCGCGTTAGAACTTCGGCGGCGGCGCGGGGCCCCAGGTCTGGGAGCGCCTGAGCGTGGCTCGCACGCTTCAGAAATACCCCCCGCCCCTCCCCTCCCCTCCGGCCAGGGCTCGGGCGCGCCCCCGCGGCCAGTACCTGAGGCGCGAGCGTCCGTGAGGCAAGCGCCTTGGTCAGGCCGCTTCTGAGAACGAGCATGGCGCGGCTTCGGCACTGAGAAAAGCAGCCAGCCGAGTCCTTTGTGAGACTTCTCTGAAGTCTTCCCGAGTGGAAAAAAGCGGCTCCTGGACCACTGGCGAACTCAGGCAGGGGCGGGACTCGGCGGGGTCAGCTCCACCCCGGCGCGGGAGGCGCGACAGGTCCCGCAGTTGGCGTCTTTCTCTTCGGCGCTGAGCCTCGGTCCCCCTTGGTTTCCTGAAACGTTCTTGCCCCAGACGTTAGAGGTGACAGAATTAGCTGAAGGCTGGGATCGTTCCTGCCCCACCTTTCTGGGCCCTGACCTCATTCGCTCCGATGCGCAGTTGTGTAGATTCGTAAATGTGCGGCGGTTGTGCTTGTGTTGCCCCTGGAGAAGGAAGGGGAGGTGTTCAGCGTGTGCATGTGCAGTGCTTTGCATTTAAAGTCGAGATGTTGACAGGGTTAACTTGTTTCTTTGTTTGAGACGTAGTCTTGCTCTGTCGCCCAGGCTGGAGTGCACTGGCGCGATGTCGCCTCACTGCAAGCTCCGCCTCCCGGGTTCACGCCATTCTCCTGCTTCAGCCTCCCCAGTAGCTGGGACTACAGGCGCCCGCCACCACGCCCCGCTAATTTTTGTATTTTTTAGTAGAGACGGAGTTTCACCATATTGGCCAGGCTGGGACAGGGTTAACTTTTACAGGTTGTGATAGACGTGTATTTGTAGACCAGTGAGCCTTCGCTTTTCTGCATTATCTGTCCCCATTGCCACCCCACTGTGATCTTGGAAGGCTCCTAATAAAGATTTAATTTTCCATGAGCTCAGTGGAATAGCAGCACCGAGCCTGATAGGAAAAAGTCGAAGTTAAACATAGATAGTTTGAAACTAGATCGTTCTGTAAGCCTTAAGAGCAAAACAGCCGACCTCTGGTCTAGTCCTCCCAGTCCCAGAGTACTGGTCCCCAGACTAACCACCTTCAACATTTTAAGCTGTTCTTCTAATACCTGTTTCCGTATGTTTTTTATTTTTTTGAGACAGAGTCTTGCTCTGTCGCTCAGGCTGGGGTGCAGTGGCATGATCTTGGCTCACTGCAACCTCCGCCTCCCGGTTTCAAGAGATTCTCCTGCCTCAGCCTCCTGAGTAGCTGGAATTACAGGCGCACGCCACGACACCTGGCTAATTTTTCTATTTTTAGTAGAGACGGCGTTTCACCATGTTGGGCAGGCTGGTCTTGAACTCCTGACCTCAGGTGATCCTCTCGGCTCAGCCTCCCTAAGTGCTGGGATTACAGGCACGAGCCACTGCGCCTGGCCCGTATTTTTAAATAATAGTCATTTTCTGCTATTTCTTGCATTTTCAGTTATGGAGAGTATGTGTTGCCTTCCTTCTGTGGCAGATGAGGATTTAGGTCTCACAGAAGCCACTCCCCCGGGGGCTTATCATTTGTGTTGAGAACATTCAATATCCTCCTAGCAATTTGAAACTATATATTATTAACTATAGTTATCCTGAAGTGGTATAGAGCACTAGAACTTATTCCTCCTATCTAGCTATAATTTTGTTTAACAAATCTCTCCCATCCTTGTCTTCCTCCTAATCTTTCCCATCCTCTAGAATCCTGTTATACTTTTTATTTCTGAAATCAACTTTTTTTAAAGCTTATACATTAATGAGAACATGTGGTGTGCAACTTTCTCTTGTTGGCATATTTCACTTAACATAATATCCACCAGTTCCAGCCATGTTGCTGTGAAGGACAGGATTTCATTCCTTTTTACTGCTGAATAGTATTCCATTGTG
Organism: Homo sapiens; assembly: GCF_000001405.40. Classification (NCBI taxonomy): domain Eukaryota; kingdom Metazoa; phylum Chordata; class Mammalia; order Primates; family Hominidae; genus Homo; species Homo sapiens. The sequence goes on along the minus strand of NC_000009.12, from coordinate 104,762,463 downwards.
TATATATAACATACTTTCTTTATCCATTAATCTTGCTGGACACCTAGGCTGATTCTGTATCTTGGCTATTGTGAACAGTGCTGCAATAAACATGGGGGAGGGAAGATGTCTTTCTGATATACTGATTTCTTTTCCTTTGGATAATGCTCAGTAGTGGGTTATTTGTAGTTTCTTGAGGAAACTCCATAGTGTTCTCCATAGTAGTTCTAAGAGTTTACATTCCCAACAGTGTATACGATTTTCCTTTTCTCTGCATCCTCATCAGCTTTGTTTTTTGACTTTTTGATAATAGCCTAACTGGGGTGAGATAATACCTCACTTCCCTGATGATGAGTGATGTTGAACATTTTTCATGTATTTGTGAGCTATTTGTATGTCTCCTTTGGAGAAATGTCTGTTCAGATCATTTGCCCATTCTTAAATTGATTTGTTTGGTTTTTATTGCTGGTGAGATGTTTGAGTTTCTTGTATATTCTGGATATGAATCCCTGTCAGATGAATAGTTTGCAATTATTTTTTCCCATTCTATAGGTGGTTTTTTCACTCTGTTGATTTTTTCATTTGCTGTGCAGAAGCTTTTTAGTTTGACATAATCTATTTTTGCTTTTGTTGTCTGTGCTTTTGAAATCTTATTCATAAAACTTTTTCCCAGACAATGTCCGGAAGCATTTCCCTTATATTTTCTTCTAGTACTTTTAGTTTCAGGTCTTACACTTAGCTCTTTGACCCATTGAACTGAATTTTTGTATAGAGTGAGAGGTGGGGGTCTAGTTTCACTCTTCTGCATATTGATATCCAGTTTTCCTGGCACTATTTATTGAAGAGACTGTCTTTTCCCCAGTGTATGTTCTTGGCACCTTTGTCAAAAACCAGTTGGCTGTAGATGTATGGATTAATTTCTGGGTTATATATTCTGTTCCATTGGTCTGTTTCTGTTTCTATCCCAGTACCATGTTGTTTTGGTTACTATAGCTTATAGTATATTTTGAAGGCTGGTAGTGTGATGCCTCTAGCTTTGTTCTTTTTGCTTAGGACTGCTAAAAGCAAATTCTTGATAAAGAAATAGACCTATTCTTTATAAGATATTAAATAACAATATCTAATGGTAGGTGTAAGAGGTATAATAATTTTGAAGTAGTGATGAAGGTAAAATAAATTTTCTGTATTTGCAACAACTATAAATAGAATTTGACAGTATCTGTGATTTTTACTGACTAAAAAGTTGCAGGTCCTGCTAATAATATTGTGGTTTGTTGCCTACCTTCACAAACAAAGGAAATGCTTAGAAGTTGGTGCCAATAAAGATGGAACTTTTACCTATCCAAGTTATCAGACTCTGAATTCTATCCTTCAGGATTTGTGTACTAGAGGTTACAAACCACTACTCTAGAGTATATAATTAGGAATGGAATTGCTGGGTCATAAGTTATGTATATATTCATCTTTATTAAATCGTGCCAAACTGTTCTATAAATGTATATTCTTAATAGCAGTGTATGAGGTTTTCCTGACCAATTTCTTATTATTGCCCATCTGATCTGATGAGTGTGAAGATGCATTTTTACACCTCTCATAACAAATAAGTATTAGCTGAAGGATGGTGGGAATTACAAGAAGTGGGCAAAGGGAACAATCTACTTGATGATGTTCTTGCATGTTTTTTTTTTTTTTTAAAGGTCAGGCTCATGCAAAAGCAGGAGAGGTGTATCCAGTGCTGGCCCAACTGGGTAGGAGGACAGCAGTTGTACATGTAAACTCTAGATGCTTAAATTTCCTGAGTGAAAACTTTCCAAATAAACATTGAGATGGAAGACTCTTAGACAAAACTCAGAGCCAATGCCTCTAACTTCCGTGATAAGTTTTTACCTCCAGTGTTGGGTCTTCTTTGCCTTAGTAGGAAACTCATCTGTCCTTTGAATCCCTGGGAGCTAGATAAATGAGGGGTTACTATACTTTCTGCTTTTCCAATTTCCCTCAGATGGCTAATTCATAATTTACTATCTTTGCTATATGTAATAGCAGTGTAAAATAAAAATATAAAATAACATAGAAATGTAAAAATAACATAGCTGTAAATATAGATTTCATAGTCTTGGAAGTACCAAATCTACTTTAATAGGAAGCACTCAATTAAAAATTAAAGTTGTTTGTAGGAAAACACTACCACATCTGTGACAGTACTAAAGAAACTCTGATTCTGGGGTTAGTGGGATACAATTTTCTTGAGGTAACTTAATATTTACAGTAAAGACGGTAAATTGGTATTGTCTCATTACCTTATAGCAATACAGCAATAGCTTCAGAAAAGATAAATATATAAAACTCAACAAAAAGAACCAGAAGGTATATGTAGGCTTTTATTAGGGCAAGCATTTCCATATCCATACAGATTTCATTAAAACAAATGGATGTCTCAAGTATCTTTGTTAAACAGGATCCGAAATGAAGTAAATAGTAGTTAAAATTAATTATAAATAAAGACATTTCAGCACATAAACCAACAAGTCTTTTCTAGATTTTTAATACCAGGACCTAACAGCATCATTTTCCAAGTAAGTGACAAATAACTAATGTGAAAACCATATTTAATATAGATGATGTCACAAATGACAATGTGGTTTTCCATAGTAAAGAAATACGTTAATTTTCTTAAATCCTATTTGGTATTACAAAATAAATTTTACTGGTCAAAAAACAACCAAAAAAAACCAGGAAAACAGACATGATGGAAAGGTTGATAAAATATATTAATAACTTAAAAATGCTGTCACAAGCATGGAAATGCTACCATTATCATTTGAATACAACAAAATGCTATAAAGCAAAGAGTTGTCAGAATACAGTAGAAGAGCTATTCTGAAACAAATGAAGAGTCAAGATCTTAAAACAGTGACAAGTATTTTTAATGTATGACAGACACTGAAATACCATGCAGAAAGTAAACAGAACTATTTTTTGAAGTGGTACTTACAAAGCACAGATGTAGCCTTCATAATGCAAGAAACATAGCAAATTAACTTAACACCTCCTTCAAATAAAAGTGAGAACCTCTTGGGAGAATTTAAGCACCATTAGCAGACAGATCCTATAGCAGTTAATGAAATGTTTTGTATTTCAGTAGAAAACTATTTCAGTGGTGAAAACGATGTAGGAATCAGAAGCATATTCTGCTGAGATACTAGGTAGTTGACACTTTCCCGAACTGGAAAAACATTTCATAGAAAGGCATATAGAGTTACTGACTGAAACACATTTGTTCTAAAAATAATTCATGCCTAGTCAAACAGCTTACCAGCTGCCACAACTCTGGGATCCTCATGGGACTTATGTCTCCCAGCTGCACGACTATCTGCACTCTCATTCCACCAAAGAACATGAACTGCAGAAATAAACCACAAGTAGCTTCTAAAAAATATGGCCTTAACAAATAAGAAATAACAGAAAAATGAATCAAACCCATCCTATTCTTTTTTTTTTTTTTTTTTTTTTTTTGAAACAAGAGTTTCACTCTTGTCACCTAGGCTGGAGTGCAGTGGCACGATCTCGGCTCACTGCAACATCTGCCTCCTGGGTTCAAGCGATTCTCCTGCCTCAGCCTCCTGAGTAGCTGGAATTACAGGCGCCCACCACCACGTCCGGCTAATTTTTTTTTTTTTTTGTATTTTTAGTAGAGATGGGGTTTTGCCATGTTGGGCAGGCTGGTCTCGAACTCCTGACCTCAGGTGATCCGCCCACCTTAGCCTCCCAAAGTGCTGAGATTACAGGCGTGAGCCACCGCGCTTGGCCAAAACCATCCTATTCTTTAAATCGAAATAGTGATATCAAAAAGGTAAAACTAAATATGTTACTGATAAGATTTCAGAGGGGTCAGAGACTTGCTAGAGAAATTGATAAATTAATCAAATTGGTTTTATAGATGAAGAAATAGAAGGCTGGAAAACGGAAGTACTGAAGTAAAACAGCTAGAGGCACAATCAAGACAAGACCCAAATTTTATGATTTCCTACTATATTTTCCCTTGATTTTTAAAAAAGCAAAATTATGAGCAAATTGTGCTTATTATTAAAATTTTACATTATACAAAGAAGAAAATTGAAAGTGGTATAATGTTAACAGTATAGAGAAAACCTCTATGGAAATTTATTGTACTTCCTTTAGAAAATATGAGTAAAACCAAATCAGGGTCTTATTGTATATTATAATAACAGATTTAGCTTAGTAACAAGTTTTTAAAAACAGTATTTTCTATGGCAATATTAATTTTTAATGGTTATATAAATTCCTCCTTACAGATACAGCAACTTATTATGTCAACCCCTTATTGTTGACTATTTAGACTATTTCCAATATTTCAGTATTCTATAAAATACTGGAATAAATGTTGTTCTTGTACAAAATTGCTTATGAAGTTTTTATAATTGTAATATATACATGTTAGATGTATAGGAAAATGCAGATTAAAAACAAACTAATCATTTTATTTTTGGTGTATCTCTTTTATATTTGGTGTATCTCTTTCTATATTTGTGTATATATGTATTTTTATTTTTTAATTTTAATTTTATTTTTATTTTTGTAGAGACAGGTTCCCACTTTGTTGCCCAGGCTGGTCTCGAACTCCTAGCCTCAAGCAATCCTACTGCCTTGGCATCCCAAAGTGTTGGGATTACAGGCATGAACCACCACGCCTGGCCTGTATTTTTATATATAGTTGTATATGTATACAAATAAACATATATAAGCATATTTGCTTATGCTTATGTAAATACACGATATGACGTACATGTATATCGATTTCTGTATTACGTATGTATTACATAAAGAAGGTCATACTACATTTCCAATGTTTCTTTAATGTAAACAATATTAACATAAACTTCATTTGAGCACAACTATGTGTTTATAATAATACTTTCGATGACAACTACTGACATTTATTGAATGATAACTATGTGTCAGGCCTAGTTTTAAGCATTTTAATGTATTAACTCATTTAATCCTCATAATAATCTAGGTCCTCATAATAATCTATCATTTTATAGATGAAAAAACTAAGGTATGGTGAGGTTTACTTACCCAAAGTCAAAAAGTAAGTAGTGTACCTGGGATTCAAACCCAGGCAGTCTGAATCTGATTATTTCCTTAATATAAAGTAGAATTTAAGTTGACAGAACCAAAGAGCATGTCTTATATATATGTACTTACATATAGTGTATATAGTATACACTGTCCTCCAGAAATGATGTACTGATTACCAATTCTCCTAACACTGAGAATGAATTTAAGATTAAAAAGTGTATGAACACACATTTTCTGTAGTTTTTAAAAAAATAAAACTTAATATGTGCAGTATAGAAAATTAAGGTAGAGGCTAGGTGTAGTGGCTCAGGCCTCTTATCCCACCACTTTGGGAGGCCGAGGCGGGCGGATCACCTGTGGTCAGGAGTTTGAGACCAGCCTGGTGAAATCCTGTCTCTACTAAAAATACAAAAATTAGCTGGGCATGGTGGCACACAGCTGTAATCCCAGCTACTTGGGAGGCTGAGGCAGGAGAACCGCCTGAACCAAGGAGGCGGAGGTTGCAGGGAGCTGAGATCGTACCTGCACTCCACAGAGCGAGGCTCCATCTCAAAAAAAAAAAAAAAAAAAGAATATTAACATAGAGACTTAACCATTTATCTCACTGAAATATGACTACTATGTATGTTATATACTTTCAAATTTCTTTTCTGTATAATTTAGCACACCTATACACATACACACCCAGGCATATTTTCTAGAAGTAATACTGGCAAAAACAATAAAAATAAGGCTTTTATTTTTATTGTCAAATTTTGGGGGAAGATTAAGCTAATATGAACCCTACACAGTATCTGAGTACTTATTTTTTCCTGACCTAATACTATATCCATGTAAGTATACCTTTTATAAGGTAAAGAAATGGCATCTCATTATTGTTTTAATATGCATTTTCTTTAATATATATTTAGTAGCCATGTGCATGTCTACTTTTGCATAAATTTTTATTTTTATTTTTGCTTTTGAATTTCATTTATGGTGATTTTCAGGCATCCAGATAGTTTGAGCCTTTGTATAATAAAATCATAAGTTGATTTTTTTTTCTTCATAGTTTCTTCATTTGCTTTTGGCTTACAAATATAGTCCCAATCCACATTATTAAATAAATTCATCTACATTTTGTTTTACCAATTTTATGAATTAAATTTTTTTCATTAAAATATACAATCCAGCTTGACTTTATTTTCGCATATGGTGTGAGATAGGCATCTAATAATTTTCATAACAGTTTCTCCTCCATGTATTTTCCAACCTGAATATACATCTGTTTTTATATATTCTATTTTCTTATGATAGATTATTACAAGAAGTTGAATTTCTGCATAAAGATGGGTATATTAGGTTTGAGATGTCCATTGGACATAAAGAGATAATAGAAAGGCAACAGGATATTATGATGAGTCTTTCAAATATTTGTTAGCTATTCTTAGACATTTATCCTTTCTTCGTTACTTTTTTTTTTTAAGAGACAGGGTCTCACTATGTCGTTCAGGGGTTGGAGTGCAGTGGTGCAATCATAGCTTACTGTAGCCTTGAACTCCTGGCTCAAGCAATCCTCCCACCTCAGCCTCCCAAGTAGCTAGGACTACAGGTGTTTGCCACCATGCCCAACTAATTCTTAAAATTTTTTTTGTAGAGACAAGCTGTGTTGCCCAGGCTAGTCGTGAACTCCTGGGCTTAAGCAATCCACCAGCCTCAGCCTCCCAAAAGCGCTGGAATTACAGGTATGAGCTACCTCATCAGCTCTTTTATCCTTTCAGATAAACTTTACAAATGTTTTTCTGAATTTGCCACAAAAAATCTTGAAATTCTGATTGAAATGTTTTTCAACATTACAAGTTAAATACCCCAAGTATGTGTTTTATTAAATAAATTTATATCCATATATAAATTTACCTCAATATATATACATATTTACTATATCTCCCTATATAGATATATATAAAACTGGTGGAAAATGGGTAAATTTTTATGAGGGGGGTTTTCATATTTATACAAAACATATATTACTTTTTTGCTTAGAGATAATCTCCCTACCCCAAATAATATTATTTTTAAAAAATCAATAAAAGTACATTCAGAGGAAAAAGAAATGATGAAAGTAACAGACTATTTCTTGAGGTTCCTTCATTTTTTTTTTTTTGAGATGGAGTTTTGCTCTTGTCACCCAGGCTGGAGTGCGATGGCACGATTTTGGCTCATTGCAACCTCCGCTTCCTGGATTCAAGTGATTCTCCTGCCTCAGCCTCCAGAATAGCTGGGATTACAGGCCCCCACCACCATGCCTGGCTAATTTGTTCTATTTTTACTAGAGACGGGGTTTCACCATGTTTGCCAGGCTGGTCTCGAACTCCTGACCTCAGGTGATCCACCCCCTCAGCCTCCAAAAGTGCTGGGATTACAGGCCTGAGCTACCGTGCCCAGCCGAGGTTCCTTCAGTTTAAAAAATTTAATCATTTTGATGTATCAGGGAAAACAGCTATTCAGCATTTGAAGGTTTCATAAGTTAACATTCTAAATAAATAAGATGTAAAACAGATTTTCTCAATTTTAAAAATTACAAAAAACTAAACATTTGGCAATAAATAATAAAACATACTCTATAATGAGAAAGAACCTGACCCAAGGAACTTAGGTCACAATATATATTACAATTTCATATAAGAAGAAATGGACAATTGTACCTCTGTTGAGTGCTCCGTACTCTGTGTGGAACACTCCAACTAGTTTTGTGTAGCCTAGATTGACATGAGCATGAACTGCCCTTTTAAATGCATCACCCCACAGAGCTGGCCCACCAGGTTTCATCTGAAAAGTGGCCAGTTCATAGACTCCTGGAATAGGGAGAAAAAGAATTTTTCAGAAAACATTCAAGCAATATCCAATCACGTTTCTCAGTGAATAGTCTTTCACTATCTACACACACAGATTTGGAGGATCAGACATGCATACATATTATGTAGACATGTTTATTATATTTGCACTCTCTGCTTTTATGCTTAGAAAGTCCTTGCCCATGTTTAAGAGTGAGTTGTTATGCTTAATCATACAGATGACAAAGAAAAAGAACTGGAAGCTATTATAACTATTATCTGAAATATTTTTAATCTATAACATTTGTTAAAAAACTGTTGAGAATGTATAATGATATAGAATTTTGAGCTGCAAAAGTCTATGCTTTTAGAAAATAAAAGAATAAAAGAAGAATTTTCCAATCTATATTTTCATTCTTTCCAATTTCCACTATGTTTTTCTTCATATAATTTCTCCCTATAAGTTTCCATTTTTAACAGGAACAGCAAAGCAAAGAGTGGACCTGAAGTGATATCTTTGAATTTTGGAGGAAAAAAGACAAACCTAAAGAGATGGTTTTATTTTTCCTAAATATCCAGGTAAATACTTGAAAAGTATTGTACACTTTGGACAGAAGTATAGGGCTGGTGGAGAGAAAGAAACTCTGGGACAAGTAGGAAAAGCATGTAAAAATTTCCAAGCAGTGATGTACACAGAGGAGGAGAACCAAGATTTGACACTGTCAGAGAAGTGAACTATTTTATTTAGATAGTGCTGAGAGCTGAGGGGACACCTAAGTAGGTAAAGATCCAAGGAAGACTTTGTAAATTTTTTGTAACCTAAATACACTACAAAGTTGGGAATAATGGGGGAAGTAAAATAACATTTAAATAAGTTTATGCTTTTCTAATCTGACCTTTATTTAAAACTGGATTGAGGTAATAGTTTCTTTAAGTCAGCAAGAAGTGAAATCAGCAAGAAGACAAATCTTAAGCAATTACTTTCAAACTGAGAAACAAGAAAGAAGACACAAAAGTTAGATTAAAGTAATATAGCTTGGCAGTTTCACTTAATCTGTTTCCCCCAAATACTCAGTTTTATAAGCAAAGCTGTATTTAATGATTTAAGATTAGTTATAATTTATGGAAATACTTTTACATTTTAAAGATCATATTATTTTAAAATTATGGCAAAACTTCTTATGCTATCCCTTACCTATCAACACGTTCTCTGCTCCCAATGCACAAATTCTCAACCTCTACTGACCATGTCAGCTTTCTCTATAACACAGTTAAGCTTTACAAATCTGCAAGGTCTCAATTTGAAAAATATCTCATTATTTTATGCTCATTTTTTTAAAGGATGGGGTAAGAGCTCCCATTTATTTTTACCACAACAATCACTGTATGTTTCTATATAAAACAAAGAATTAATTTTATTTTTTTCCAAAGGAACTTCAGTTTTGATCACTTAAGTTCTTTAGTATTTTATTCATCAAAACTCAGTGACTAAGAAGGAAGGACTTACCTTCTTTTGGAGGTTTTTCTAATTTGCACCATGGTACCAGATAAGTAATCTCACTCTCTTGTTTATCAATGAGAGCCAAATTTGGAATGAGGAATTGTTCTTGCCATTCCTTATCTTTGGCCAAGGCTTTCCGAACTTCAGTTCGATGAGCAAAATTATCTGTGGGAAGAAAAGAATTAAGAAAAATAAAAAATTCAATTTTAAATCACCTGTACTTTTCTGGGTTTCATTCACATCAGCAATGGTCATTGATGCCATATAAGAACCTTGTGTTAGGCCTTTGGAGACACCAACGTAAACAGATGTGACCATCTGCCCTGAAGTTGCTCAAGGACAAAAAGGGCAGTAGAAATGCAAACTAACTGTAATGCCACATAATAGGCTTTATAGGCTCAACCATATAGTAGGCAGTTTTGTGAATTAGGTAAGTTATTGAATCTTTCTGTGCCTCACTTTCTGTGAAATTGAGATAATAAGACATCTACCTCCAGGGTTGTATGAGGATTAAATTAACACATGAAAAGAGTTTAGAATATAGCGGTTGGCACTAGTTAATACTCAGTATATGTGAACTATTCTTACTTGATTGAGGCATTTAACTTATAGTGCTAGTTTAGAGAAAGACTGTTTTTCTTTGGTGGTGGTGGGTAGTCAAGTTCAGATACACCCTGAATCAAATTTAACATGAGTGAAGTTAAAACATCTTGAATCAAATTTAACATGAGTGAAGTTAAACCGTACTTTTTAAGCCTCTTCTCCTTTGAACAAACAGATTTCAAAGAAATAATGCTGATTCTCTTATTGTCATCCATTCTTTCTCCCCAGCACTTATTTCTCTTCTATTTAAGTTACCCAAACAGTTATATACATTTGCCAACATATGGGCCTAGTACTATAATTACCATTAGGACCTCATAAGACTAATGGCAAGAGAGGTTCATATGGTTTACATTGGGATAAGGAAGAATACCTATCTTACAACTTAAGTGAGGTATATCAGAACTTAGTTTTTTTAATGGGCTGTGATACAACTTGTACCACATCTAAAGCATAAAATGTATTTTAATGGGGCTTTTTCTATTAACAGGGAAAAACCCTAAACCAAACACTAAATGAAATTATTAAAAATTCTTTAGGTATCATCAAGTCCTGATGTAGACACTGGAGTAACAAGCATTCTGGGCATTCTTGTAACTTATTCTCCTTCCTCTACTAAACCAGGCGTAGGTTAGTTTCAACACGGGAAGAACTCTCTTTCATTCCTTTTCTTTTACCTCCCTAGAGTAGTATGACAGTGAATTCCTCAAAACTCTGGGGGTACAGATATGAAACAAATGTGGTCTCTAAACATAACAGAATTATTAAATCTCAGAGTTCAGTGAGGATTGAAAGTTAACCATCATCCCCTATAAACCTCCATATTGTGAAGTCCCTTAAATGGTTGAATTATTTCTGCTAAAATACTGATATCCAGCCCCCTAGCTTCAAAAAGAGAAAAGATACTTCTCCTTTCCTTTTGTGATCTTAATCCACTTGGACTTTTACAATTGCTGCTTTAAATTTTTCATGAACTATCTTTACAGCAAACCATTTTAATATTTTTCTGAGGTTTAAAGTCTAGTTCACAATTTTATCGCTTGATATATGAGATGCCATGTCTTCCAATTTATAATGTAATATAATGTAATGTTTAAGCAAGGGGTTAGAGGTGTACCACTGGGAAGAATAAGAACTGAATTTATTTTTTTGGTATTGCTTTTCAAAAGTCTTAGTTAACCTGTATGTATCTAAAATAATATACATCCAAGAACTAAGTTTTATGTTACATTTAACAGAATGAAAATCTATACTGAAAAATGAAAATCTATACTGAAAGCCAAAATTGGATGACTCTTTACCATACTTCCAAATATGAAACACTGTATTCATTCTGCCTCCAAATTCTACACTCCAGTATCCAACCAATTCAGAGTGAGCTGTCCGAAGATGAGCGTTTTTCTCAAAATTTTCCAGGAACTCATTCATCTTTGAGGGCTTAAGGTAATAAGAACGAAATTCATAGAATATTCCATCGTATTGTCTGGGTCCCGTAGCAAAAGATGAGCACATCTGAAGAAGATAAGACAAATGTAAATATCTTGAGAAGACAGGATTCATTATATTGTGTTAAAACCTAATCTGAATCTGGTACAAGGGACACTCATAGACTCATTACTCATGTTTGTACTTCTGTTGTCAATTCTCAATATGTTACTGATGGAGGGTGTCCAGGTTCTTGGTGTTTGAACAAAGAACTGGACAAAATGCACAAAGCAAGGAAAGAATGAAGTAACAAAAGCAGAGATCTATTGAAAATGAAAGCACACTCCACAGGGTAGGAGTGGGCCTGAGCAAGTGGCTCAAGGGCCCTGGTTACAGAATTTTCTAGGGTTTCAGTACCCTCTAGAGGTGTCCCATTGGCTATGTGGTGTAAGCCGTATATAAATGAAGAGGATGAAGTAAAGTTGCAAAGTCATTTACTCTGTGTACACCCTATGTAAATGAAGAGGGTATTTCTTGTCATAGCTGAAGGGTTTGATTTAGTTCTAGGAAGTCCTTAGGTTCCCTGCCTCAAGACCCTATTCTCCTGCTTCACATATACATTTGTTTACATAGAGGTGTCAATAAAGACAACTACTCTTAAATATGCTGAGTGTGTAGTTACTGTTTCCTAGTGGGGGTTCACTGTCACCTTTAGCCACTTTTTCAGAAATTGCTCATAAGAAGGCGCTGAGATCTTAATGATACTTCTTTATCCAAGAACTACAATTAGGATTCTAACAAATTTACAAAAGTTTTCCTATTAGCCAATATTGCATCTTTAGTCAAGAGCATACGTGTTACAGTTATGCACATCAAAGAACTTTATTAACTACGCACGTAACTTTTGGCAGGCATAATGAAAAAAATGTTTACTAGAAGAAAACTCTTTTAGGTTCTTGAAAAAAATGGAAATTACAGTTCAGGTCAAAGTATTTCCTAATTCAATGAAGTAAACCACTGACCAAAATTAGGACTGGAATGTAACTAATGCAATAAAAAGCTCTGACCTATCCAATTGCATTGTAATATAATGGTAGAACATGAATGCTGAGAAAAGAAAATTCAGAGTCAAAATTTTCTTATTAGTTTCTAATTACAGATGCAATGTGAACAACATTTAATGAATCCACTTATACCACATTGATGAAAATATCACTTAAGAACCATTAATTCCTTTTGTAATAGTCATACACGCACTGTAAATTTCTAATTTGTGTTCTGGTTGAACTTTCTGTAAGAAATACCTCGCCTAAGATTATCCTCTATGTAGGTATCTATGTGTATATATGTATACACATACACACACACATACGCACACACACATATATATATGCACTCATGGTATACACACAGGCATTCGTGATATTCTTATAAATCCATCTTACTTAAGTTTGAATAGCATGTGCCATTTCCTTAAGTTGATTACACCAGAATAATCTGTGAAGACAGTTTTGATACCTACAAAGCTATGGACAAATTAGGGCTTATACTGACTAGCCAGTATGTCTGTCTGAAAGCAGTAGGCTTTTGCTCCGACATATTTTTGTTTACAAAATACAAAATTATGTAACTGTGTATGATAAGGCTTAATGATAATTATCTAGAGTTAATTCTATTCGTGTGTGACTTATATTCTTATTGCTCAAATGACTAAGCCTACCAACAAAAACAGCTGCAGCTGCCCCTGCCTTTTGTGGACACTCTTTTTGTGCTTTTAAACCAAACTCTAGTAACAATGTTGGTCAAGAAGCAAGTGCCTAGTATCCATAATTTCAAAATTATTATAATAAAATATATCAGGAGATAGGCCAATGGGGCATTTGTGACAAATGGATTTCAGGTTGATTCGAGGAATTTGTATTTGGAGGATAAAATAGTTGATCAAAGGTACACATTTTTACAATTTTGGGCAGTATTAATATACAGTAGGGAACCTACAGTGAGAGAGGGAGAGAGATGTGGACAGGTGGTGCCAGAGAAGGAAGACTGCAGGGGAGCCGGGTATGGTGGGGGAGCCGGATGGGAGTTAAGAATTTTGTTGCAGGGATGACTTTTAGCTGCTAGGGCAGAAATCATGAGTCGTCCATCCTCCCTTATCTCCAAGTTAGGGATCATTCCCACCAGCAACGACCTCCACTTCACTTAAAAGAGAACAACTGATGGACATTTCTAAAAACTTAAAGTTTGGAATCATGCCATAAGGACGTCATTCCTGGCCCTGCCCCACTGGAGAATCATTAGGGTAAAAACTGCATTGTTAACCCGGGGTGAATGGACATGAGCTGCTCTTCTTTAGTGCTCCTCAGTCTGTCTCTAGGACAGGTTAATCCCCTTCCCATCCTGCCCCTTCAGAAAGGAGTAAAGTCCTAAACATCAAAAGGAAAAGAAATTTCTAGGTTGAAGCCACAGAATAGGCCACTCCCGAAAGTTAGGGCAGAATCACAAGCTCCATTTTGTCCATTTCTCATCTAAGGTTAAAAGAGTCTGTCTGTCATCGTCCGGTTTGATAGGAGGCTCCGGTCCCGCCTGGTTGGGGGAGCGACCACACGAAGCGCGGGTGGCGGGCAGGGTCCAGCCCCACCGGGACCCTGGGCCTCCTCTTCAAGGGTCTCCGCGAAATGCTCGGAAGTTGTGTGCTTCATTTAAAAGGGGGAGGCCGGTTCCGTGGCAAGCGGCTGGTTGACAATTCCCTCCTTCAACCTGATGTCTAGAGAGGGCGGTGGCTTGGAAAGCTACGACTCCACCCGCGGCTCCACAGCGCCAGGTGACAACATGGGAGCGCTCGCTGGGCCGCAGCCGCGACATAGCTGGGCAGCAAAAACGAAACAGCCGGCGCCATGGGAGTGTCCCGGTGGGTGTGGCATCCAGGCTAGAAAAGCCTTCTGACCACCACTGCCCGCGAGACGACCCCGGCTGGGGGTATTCCCCTAGCAGCGGCCTCCTCCTCACGCGCGTTCCGGGTACCCCTGTCTTGGGGTTCCGGGGCTCACGCTAGAACCTCACCGGGGCCCCAGGTCTGGGCGCGCGTGGCGGAGAGCGCATGCGCATTGCTCGCACGTACCCGGAACACTCCCCGCCCCGCCCCTCCCCTCCCGTCGGGTGAAGGCTTGGGTACCCCCGTGGCCGGTACCTGAGGCGCCAGCGTCCGTGAGGCCAGCGCCCGAGTCAGGGCGCTTCTGAGGACGAGCATGGCGCGGCTTCGGCGCTGAGAAAAGCAGCCAGCCGTGTCCTTTCTGAGACTCCTCTGAAGGTTTCCCGAGTGGAAAGGAGCGGCTCCTGGATCATTGGCAGACGCAGGCTGGGGCGGGGCTCGGCGGGGTCAGCTCCACCCCGGCGCGGGAGGCGCGGCGGGTCCCGTAGCTTGGTGTCTTTCTCTGCTGTGCTGAGCGTTGGTTCCCCCTTGGTTTCCTGAAACGTTCTTACCCCAAACGTTAGAGGTGACGTTAGGATTAACTGAAGGCTCGGATCGTTCCTGCTTCAACTTTCTGGGCCCTCACTCACCTCATTCGCTCCAGTGCTCAGTTGTGTAGATTGGTAAATGTGCAGGGGTTGTGGGTGTGTTGACCATGGGGAAAGAAGGAGAGGTGTTGAGTGCGTGCATGTGCAGTGCTTTGTATTTAAAATCGTGGAGGTTTTTTCCGAGTTAAGTTTTAGATGTTGTGATAGACGTGTATTTGAGCCTGACCTCTCTGCAATGAATGTGTTCTCCATCTTAGAAGGCTCCTAATTAAGATTTAGATTAAATTTTCCACGAGCTCAGAGAAATGGCAGCATCGAGCCTGAAATGAAAAAGTCAAAGTTAAACATACCCTGGTCTAGTCCTCCCAGTCCGGGAGTGTTGGTTCCCAGAGTAACCACCTTCAACATTTCAAGCTGTTTCATTTAATGCTTGTTTCTGTATTTTTAAGTAAGTAGTGTTTTCTGCTGTTTATTGCATTTTCAGTTATGGATAGTATGTGTTGACTTCCTTCTGTGGCAGATGAGGATTTATGTCTCATAGATGCCACTGCCCCCAAATTCACTTGTCTTCCTGCATCTAATAATGCTTATGTTAATTTACAGTAATTAATTACACTATTAATTTACAGTAATCTATATTAATGTTTACATTATTCTTGCTAATAATTACATTATTGTAAACATTAATGTAATATTGCTTACATCATGAGGACTAGGGAGGGATTGCAGGGCCATGACCTGGGTTGTATTGGTTGTGCCTTGTGGAAGAGCTTTGGAATTGTCTGTTCAAAGGAAGGGAGACTTTTTAAAATTAGTTATTTCGGAAGGGTTGCCTCAGTTTTTCTAGAAGAGAGACATCTATTTGTAACCATGCAAGACTAAAAAAATCATTTGTATCAGGACTGGATCTATATGAGTAAATTATTTTCTTAGACCTTTTTTTTTAAACCCTGTAATTGCCAATCCATTTACTTATTCAACAGATATTTACTAAATTCCTTCCATGTTCCAGGCACTTTTCCAGAAACTGGGGTACAGAATTGAGCAAAATTCAAAGTCCCGTCCTCTTGGAACATCCAGGATGGAGGAAACAGATAAAAAAAGGAAGAGTAAATATATCAGGGATTGTCAAATAATATAAAGAAAAATAAAGTAAGATACGAATAAAGGTGCTAGTGGAATTCTAAAAGTGGTCAGGATTCTAGCTATTGACTTGGATATTTAGGATTTAGGTTTCTTCATACCACTCCCTCAAAATACACTTTCCTTCCTGCGTTTATTGATGTTTACATTAAAAATATATTTTGGAGTGAGAAAAACATGTTAAAAGCACTGTAAGCACAGGTGAATCTCTTCAAATAGTGGGCTTCACTGTGAGGTGATCTGACCTGGGTATTTCACTGAAGGCTGTATCCCCTCCCCCCAAACTGTTATCTGCAAGTTATTTATCTGTGTAGTCAGTGTTAGGGAAGGGAAACTTCCAGTATCTTATCTGTGTGAGAAAAGCCTTGCTGCCAGTTTCCTGAGGCTGAGGAGGGAAGAAGGCCAGAACACTCAGCATTTGGTAGTATCTTTCAATAATATATTAATTAGGGTAGATTAAATAGCTCTTGTAAATCAACACTCAAAAAAGTGTATTATTACTCAAACACTATAGGAGTTTATTTTTTATAAGAATACAAAGTGGGTTTTTCTAGTTGGCAGGTAGCTCTTCTATACTTAGTGAATTAGGGAGCCAGGCTTCTACCCGGTGGCTTTGCCATTCCCTAGTCTCATCATTAACTGCATCCATCCAGCAGAAAGATACAGGGAACTTCCAAGAGGAATTTCCAAGAGGAAAATACAGATAGGGGCAAAATTCATGGCTACAATTGAGAGATGGCTAAACATTGTTAAGTGCTTCTAAGTAGCTAAAATATTCTCCTATTCTCTTTCTCACAGGTTTTAAATATCCTCAAATACTGTGAGTTAAGCTTTATCTCCGTTTTTTAAGTGAGAAAGGTGAAGTCTGAAAAGAGAATTTTCTCAGTTTCATTGCTACGAAGTGGCACAGACTTTGAAGCCCAATTGTAAAACCAGTTCAGTTTACCATTTATTTTTAAAAGATATGTGATTATTAAGGTAATTTTAGATTTGCAGTGGAAAGTAGCTTTTAGACAGAATTTAAAATGTAATATTGTTCTGTGGCTATTTTAAAAAGCATATCCCTAAACTGCCTGGAAAATGTATAGGATAAATATTTTGAAAATTATTGTTGCATATCCTGAAATTCTGACAAATAGTCCAAAGGATAGACAGTTCAAAGCTAGAAAAATCCTATCAAAAAACTAGATTATTAAAATAGGCTCGTATGATATAGAGTAACTGGGTAGTTATTTTGGATTGGATAGACAGAGATGACCTATCTAAGAAGGTAATATCAAACATTTATTATAGGTATGAAAGTGTATATGAGATATCTGTACACTTTAAAGAAGAATAATAAAGTGAATGTCTGTGCTCTTGCCACAAGGCTTAAGCAAAAGGGTATTGCCAGCAACTCAGAAGCTCAATACATGTTCATTCCTGGTCACATTCTTCTTACAACCCTCTCCTCCAATTCCCTCAAGTAACCATGATCCCAAATTTTGTGTTATTACATTGATTTTTCTGAAATAATTCAACTACATTTGTATATAACTCTAAAGAGTATATTGCTTTGGTTTGCCTGTTTTAGATTGTTTATTAACTAATTTTATTATTTTGTTACATAACTGTTAGCTATAACTTTAGGCTTTTGCAAATCAACCACATTAATGCAGTTGTAATAATTAATTCACATCCCTTTAGTATGCTATTCTATTACATGAAAATACCTTGTTTTTTTGTCCATCTGACTATTATAAACAAAGCTGTTTGAATTTATTTGTAGATGTCTCCTGGTTCCGCCAGAAGAATTTCTCTAGGGCAGGTATTACTAACCTTTTTTTGTGTCTTAAAATCCTTTCAAAATCTTGTGAGCCTGTGGATCCCAAATGTTTTTAAATGTATAACAAATACATAGGGTTGCAAAGAAAACAAATACAGTGAAAAAAGTGAACTAGAATAATCAAAATACAAAATCAAATATGAAAAAAATGAACTAGAATAATGAAATATAAAAAACTTTTTAAAAAGAAATAGAGATGCTTCTTTATTAGGGCACTAAAAAACAATATCTAATAGTGGGTGTAAAAGATGTAATTTTGAAGTAGTGATAAGTGTGGAAGAAATTTTTATGTATTTACAACAACTATAAATGGAATTTGACATTGTCTATAATATTTATTGGTTACAAAGTCACAGGTCCTGCTAATATTGTGGTTTGTTGCCTACCTTCATAAAGGAAATGGTTAATTTTAGTTAGAAGTTGTTGCCAATAAAGATGGAATTGTTATTCATCCAACTTATCAGACCCTCTGAATTCTATCTATAGATTCACTCAGGATCTGTGTACTGGAAATTACAAACCACTACTCTGGATTACATACCCAGGAGTGGAATTGCTCGGTCATAAGTTATGTACATATTCATCTTTACTAAGTAGTGCCAGACTGTTTAATAGCAATGTATGAGGTTTTCCTGACCAATTTTTTATTATTGCCCATCTGGTCTGACGAATGTGAAGATGCATTTTTATACCTTTCATAACAAATAGGTATCCGTTGAAATGTGGTGGGAATTGTATGAGGTGAGCAAAGGAAACTTGATGGTGTTCCCGCTTGGTTTTTTTCGAAGGTCAGACTTATGCAGAAGCGAGCAGGTAGACCCAATTCTGGCCCAACTGAATAGGCCAGGTAATGCCAGTGCTGGCCCAACTGAATAGGAGGGCAGTAGCTCTACATGTAAATTCTAGATGCTTATATTCTGGTACTACATCCCTGGGTACTTTCTTGTTTGGGTGCTTTATTATTCTGCAGCCACTAGATGGTGGCATAGACTCACTTTTCCTTCATTCGGTGTTAGTGTGTGCATATGTCTATTTCTGTTATTTTTGAGTTCCTGTAATGTAAGTTATAGGTATTTATAGAGTAGACTTAACTTACAGTTTTTTTTGTGTGTGATACTGGATTATGTATAGAAGAAAAACTTCTGTAAAGGCAGGTTACTAGTAATAATAAGGCGGGTTAATAATTAAAAAAATCATTTTTTATTCAGTTTTCTTTAAAAAGAGACCTACTGATATCACCAAATATTTGTTAAGCACCTGTTGTATGTTGAACATTGAATTAAATGCCTTAATGAAGAAAAAAGAAAAAACCACCACTGCATGCTTCTTTCTGAGGTGGTCAGCATGTCTTGATATTTCTGTATTAGTCTCTTTTCAGCTAGAGTTCTTGGAGTAAAGCAGTAAAGACTTGTGAATAGCTAAATATTTAAGTATACTAGAAATGTATTTAATTTTTTTCTATTAATGAAGTATTTTTATTTCTAAAACACATAAACATGTTTATATATCCATTACCTCTTTTTAGATATAAAAATTGACTTTTACGTTTTCCATTGGAAAATGAATTTTAGTGCTAATGACATTTTAAATCCTGATATCAGTGAATACAATTATTTCCCAAAATAGGCTTTGCAAATCTTTCGCTCTGAATAATCCCTGTGCCTCACAACTGGAGTCGGGGAGAAATTTTATTAGACAAATATTTCTGAACCTTTTGCTATTTGTTTCAGATTTTTCTTATTAAATATGGCTCGTTTTTTTTTTTACTAGGTGTTTAAGTCGAGATATCTTCTAGCTTTAAGCACTTACACACTTTGTTAGTACATATTTTTTTTCATTAAGTTCCCCTTCCAAATGAACACTCATTATTCGATGCTCGCCAGTGTTTTCTTTACCTCCACAAGTTGTCCCAGGTACCTACTAGCTGGGTAATTGATTAACTTTCTAATCTGAGTTAGATTTACTTGACTCTCATTGATTGTTTTTATAGCATCTTTAAGTTTGTTGTATTTTATTTATTCTCAATGTTGTATTGAGAGCTAGAACTTTAATGCAAGGGGCAAGTAGGCTGTGTCCAACCAAAAGGGGCCTATTGCCTCTTTTGGTCTTTATTAGGTGTTTCACGATACTGCCTAGGATTTTCGACACATTCTTTCTGAACTAAGTTCAAATGCCTCACTATCGCTTTTGAAGGTTAACAGAAATAGTTTATGGGAAATTAGAACTTCTCAGATTAATATTCCCTCTGAAAAACATTCTAAGTTGTCTTTTCATGATAGCTTAATAGTGCTATTAGAAGTTGCCTTCATATCCAAAATTATTTTCTTCTCATATAAAGATACTGAGTATTAAAAAAATACATTTCCCGCCGGGCGCGGTGGCTCACGCCTTTAATCCCAGCACCTTGGGAGGCCGAGACAGGCGGATCACGAGGTTAGGAGATCGAGACCATCCTGGCTAACACGGTGAAACCCCGTCTCTACTAAAAATACAAAAAATTAGCCGGGCATGGTGGCAGGTGCCTGTAGTCCCAGCTACTCCGGAGGCTGAGGCAGGAGAATGGCGTGCACCCGGGAGGCGGAGCTTGCAATGAGCCGAGATGAGGCCACTGTACTCCAGCCTGGGCGACAGAGCGAGACTCCGTCTCAAAAAAAAAAAAAAAAAAAGTTTCCCAATTTTCATACTCCCTTGGAGTCATCTGAAGCTTCCACTTAGCACAAAATAAAAACTGGGAAGAAAGTTAATAAAAGTCATAACTTTAGAGGGTACTTCAGTATAAGTCCTGTTTCATATTATTTTTTATTAAAAATCAGTTGGTCTTGCCAGGTGCTGTGGCTCACGCCTGTAATCCCAGCACTTTGGGAGGCAGACTGGCAGATCACTTGAGGTCAGGAGTTCAAGACTAGCCTGGCCAACATGGTGAAACCTTGTGTCTCCACTAAAAATACAAAAATTAGCCAGGTGTGGTGGCAGGCACCTGTAATCCCAGCTACTTGGGAGGCTGAAGCAGGAGAAGTGCTTGAACCCAGGAGGTGGAGGTTGCAGTGGCCCAAGTATGCACCACTGCACTCCAGCCTGGGTGAGAGTTTCAAAAACAAACAAAAACATTTGGTCCTTTGCCTCTTTGTTGTTTTTTGTTTGTTTTCTCTTCTTTGTTTTTGGAATGAAGCATATTTGTTAATTTATATTACTAAAGTCTCCTTTATAATTACCTGTTTATTGAGAACTGAACCCTCTTTGGTTAGTTCTCATACCTACTTGGCTGCCCTTTCATTTTTTAAAGGTTTTAAGAAATATTTACTTAATCTCAGATCACTTGTTCGGTTCTCATCCCTTTTTTTCTCAGAGAATGTCAGTGATGCCTATTTACCGACAAGGGGTCATCAGATTTTATTATTTCTGATATTTCTTACATGCTGTTATGTAGTATACCTTTTACTTAAGTCCTTTCTTACTTTCATTTCACTCTGTAAAGCTGATATTTACATTTTAGACTAAAACACACAGCAAAGAGGAAGCTTAAAGAAGTTAGGTGGTTTGCCAAAGGTAACAAAATAAGCCATTTAGAGCTGGTTGGCTCATTTTAATTGCTCTCTTACAATCCAATATTTGAGCATATTGTAACTTTGTTCCTCTTTCTCTTTTGATACTTAAATATTCCCAGGTTTATAAATAATGCTTCAATGAGTAATTTTGTAGATATGTCCTTAGGCACATCCCTGTAAGTGGAATTAATGAGTCAACTTTACAATTTTTGGTTCACCATAGCCATTTATGCTCCCAGGCAGTGAATCGTATTTCCTCTTCCTGCACATTCTTGCAATTCTTGTAAGACTTTAATATTTGCATATCTTATGGATGAAAAATGTTTCATTGATTTCATTTATATTGCTCTGATTTCTTGTGAATTGAGAATCTTTTCATAATTTTATAGGCCATGTTGTTTTTCTTTTGTTGAGGTCCCTGTTTATATTCTTGGCCCAATTTTTTATTTTGTTGTTCATCTTTTTCATATTGATTTGAATGTTGCAATCCTGTCCCCTCAGCCTCGCAAGGTGTGGCTGGGATTAGAGGTGCACAACCATGCCTGGCTTGGTTTGAATGCTTTAAAAAATATATATATATATTCCGGCCGGGCGTGGTGGCTCATGCCTGTAATCCCATCACCCAAAAGTGATGGGAGGCCGAGACAGGTGGATCATGAGGTCAGGAGGTCAAGACCAGCCTGGCCAAGATGCTGAAACCCTGTCTCTACTAAAAATACAAAAAAATTAGCTGGGCATGGTGGCACATGCCTGTAATCCCAGCTACTTGGGAGGCTGAGGCAGGAGAATCGCTTGAACCCTGGGCGGCAGAGGTTGCAGTGAGCAGAGATTGTGCCACTGCACTCCAGCCTGGGCGACAGAGCAAGACTCCATCTCAAAACAAACAAAACAAAAACTTCCAGACTAATCTTTTTTTTGGATGTATGTTTTACTGATATGTTCTCCCATTTGTAGCTATTATTTAAACTTTCTAAGAGTATTTTGCCATATAGGTGTTTCTAAATTTAAATTATTGGTCTCATGTTTTTGTGCTTTTCCCCCTATTTAAGGTATACTTTCTTTTTCCTTGTGCATGATGATATTCTTGTATATTTTCCTGTAGATATTTTTACAGTTTTGCTTTTGCCCTTTAGGTATTTAATCTCTCTCAAGTTTATTTTAGTCACAGTATGAGGTGTAGATTTAATTTGATCTTTTTTTCAATATTAGTAGTCCATTACCAAAGAACAGTTTATTAAATAGTTCATTTGTTCCCTACCGATTTGTAATGCCATTATAAATCAAAGACCATTCACTTGGGATATAAACTTCCACAGATGCCTAGGCTATTTCTGGATCCTTCTAATCTGTTCCATTGATTAATTTGTCTTTACCTGTATCAGTACTAAGCAATTTGAATTACTGTAGCTTTATTATCCATCTTGACATTTTGTATAGTAAATATACATTTCTTATTATAACATTGTCTTGGCTATTCTTTGTCTTTGCTATTCAGTATGAATTTTTGGATAAGTTTGAGAAACTAAAAAAAATCTCAGTATCATTTTGATGGAAATTATATTAGATTTACAGAGAAATTCTGAATAAATTCATATATTTATTCTTGAATTTCCTAACATGAACAAAATTTGTGTCCCCAGTTTTTGGGAGGTTTTTCTGTGTGCTTTAATGACGATTTATATTTTTCCTCAAAAATTCCTTATGCAGTTTTTATTCATTGGCATTTTATAGTTTTTGTGATGTCATGAGATGCACTTCAAAGTATATTCTCTAACCAGTTGTGTTTCCTGCAGAAAATACTATTGAGTTGATCTTGTGGTTGGCAGCCTTGCTAAAGCCTTTTAGTAGTTTACATTTTAAGATTTTCTAATGGATTTTTTTCTGACTTCCTACAGAGATAATCTTATTTTTAGGCAATAATGACAATTTTGTTTCTCCCTTTTCAATCTTTACGACTCCTTTTCCTTCCTTTATCCCTCCTGCCCTTCCTTCTTTCCTTCCTTTCTTCCCATTTTTCTCTTTTTCTTTCTCCCCTCTTTCCTCTTTCCCTTCCCGATTTTTATTTCTCCCACTGCCCCCTTCTCTCTTTATTGTCGTACATAGGACCTCTGTGCAATGTTGACTATAAGAGGTGAAAACAGGCCTGGCACAGTGGCTCAGACTTCTAATTCCAGCCCTTTGAGAGGCCAGAGGGGGACGACCACTTGAGGCCAGGAGTTGAAGACCAGCCTGGGCAACACAGAGAGAACCCTGTCTCAAAAACAAACAAACAAACAAACAAAAAATTAGCATGTACTTCATAGCTACTCAAGAGACTAAGGTGGGAGGATCACTTGAGCCCAGGAGGTCAAGGTTACAATGAGGCAGGATCACTCCACTGTAGTCCAGCCTTGGTGACAGAGCAAGACCGTTTCTCTGCGGGGGATAAAAAAGTGAAAGCCAGCATTCTTATCTTGTTTGTAAACTTAAAGGGGATTTGTCAATTGTAAGTTTTGATAAATACCCCTTATATCAGTTTTAAAAGTTTGCTTGTTTGTAGTTTGCTAAGTTATTTATTTTAAATTATGAGTGCCTATTAAATTTTATCAAAAGATCTTTTGCATTTAATGAAATGATAATTTTTAAAATCTGTTAATTGAAATTATAGTGAATTACATTAAAATATTTTCAATGTTATGACTTCCTTGCATCGTTTGAATAAACCTTACCCGAAAGTTAGGTATTATTATTTTCTACATTGCTAGATTCTGTTTGCTAGTATTTTATATTTTCCTGTCTATGTTTATAAGTGAGATTGGCTCTTAAGTTTTCCTTTCTCATATTTTCCCTGTTCAGTTTTTGTTTCAGGGCTGTACATACAGGCTTACAAAAAGAGTTGGGGGAGCTTCCCATTCCCTTTTTAAATATTTTATGAACCAATTTATATATCAGGGGTTACCTGTTCTTGGAAAATGTGTTAGAATTATCCAGGGAAATTATTTGGGCCTGGTAAATAAAAAAATATATATATATATATATATAAAATATATTTTATTATGGTAAAATACAGATAACATACAATTTACCATCTTAACCATTTTTAAGTGTACAGTTCAGTGGTATTAAATATATTCATAATGTTGTGCAAGCATCACCACCATCCATCTCCAGAACTCTTTTCTTTCTTTTTTTTTTTTTTTTTGAGCTGTCACCCAGGCTGGAGTGCAGTGGCACCATCTTGGCTCACTGCTACCTCTACTTCCTGAGTTCAAGCTACTCTCTTGCTTCAGCCTTCTGAGTAGCTGGGATTACAGGCACCCGTCATCATGCCCGGCTAATTTTTGTATTTTTACAGAGACGGGGTTTCACCATCTTGGCCAGGCTGGTCTTAAACTCCTGACCTCAGGTGATCCACCTGCCTTGGCCTCCCAAAGTGCTGGGATTATAGGTGTGAGCCACCACATCCAGCCTTCATAACTCTTTTCATCTTGTAAAACTGAAACTCCGTGCCCATTAAATAATAATTCCCCATTCTCCCCTTCCCCCAGCCACTGGCAACTACCCTTCTACTTTCTGTATCTATGATTTTGATGACTCTAACTACCTCATATTAGTGGAATCATACAGTATTTATCTTTTTGTGACTGGCTTATTCAATATGATGTCCTCAGTGCTTTACCATGTTATAGCATGTGTTAGAATTTGCTTCCTTTTTAAGGCTGAATAATATTTTATTTATGTATATACCACATTTTGCATATCCATTCATTCATCAATGGACACTGAGTTGCTTCCATGTTTTAACTATTGCTTGTTGGCCATTTGTGTTTCTTCTTTTGAGAATTGTCTATTCATGTCCTTTGCCCACTTTTTGATGGAATTGTTTGTTTTTCTTGCTGATTTGTTTGAGTTCTTTGTAGATTCTGGATAGTCCTTTGTTGGATGCATAGTTCATGAATATTTTCTCCCATTCTGTGGGTTGTCTGTTTACTCTGCTGATTATTTCTTTTGCTGTGCAGAAGCTTTTTAGTTTAATTAGGCCCCATCTATTTATTTTTGTTTTTGTTGCATTTGCTTTTGGGTTCTTGGTCATGAGCTCTTTCCCTAATCCAGTGTCTAGAAGAGTTTTACCAATGTTAACTTCTAGAATTTCTGTGGTTTCAGGTCTTAGATTTAAGTCTTTGATCCAACTTGAGTTGATTTTTATATAAGGTGAGAGATGAGGATCCCATTGTATTCTTCTACGTGTGGCTTGCTGATTATCCCAGCACCATTTGTTGAATAGGGTGTCCTTTCCCCACTTTATGTTTTTGTTTGCTTTGTTAAATATCAGTTAGTTGTAAATAATTGGCTTTATTTCTGGGTTGTCTATTATGTTCCATTGGCCTACATGCCTATTTTTATACCAGTACCATGCTGTTTTGGTAACTATAGCCTTGTATAATAGTATAGTTTGAAATTGGGTAATGTGATGCCTCCAGATTTGTTCTTTTTGTTTACTCTTGCTTTGGCTATGCAGGTTCTTTTATGGTTCCATATGAATTTTAAGATGGTTTTTTCCAGATCTGTGAAGAATGATAGTAGTACTTTGATGGGAATTGCATTGAATCTGTAGATTGCTTTTGGCAGTATGGTCATTTTCACAATATTGATTCTTCCCATCCATGAGCATGGGTTGTGTTTCAGTTTGTTTGTGTTGTTGATGATTTCTTTTAGCAGTGTTTTGTAGTTTTCCTTGTAGAGATCTTTCACCTCCTTGGTTAGGTATATTTCTAAGTATTTTCTTTCTTTCTTTTTTTTTTTTTGTAACTGTTGTAAAAGGTATGGAGTTCTTGATTTGTTTCTCAGCTTGGTTGCTGTTGGTGTATAGCATGCTACTGATTTGTGTACATTTATTTTGTATCCTGAAACTTTACTGAATTCATTTATCAGATCTGTGAGCTTTTTGGATGAGTCCTTAGAGTTTTTCTAGATATACGATCACATTAGTGAACAGCAGCAGTTTGACTTCCTCTTTACTGATTTGGATTCCTTTCTGATTTCTCTTGTCTGATTGCTCTGGCTAGGACTTCCAGTACTATGTTAGGCCATTTCCTTTTTTTCTGAGTCAGATTCTTAGTGTATTAATTTTTAATCTCTCTTATTTTCTAATGTATGTGTTTAACTGTATTATTTGTTTATCTCACAATTTTTTATGGTAATTGTTATCATCAAGTTATACATATTTTGAAATGTCTATCATGATCTTTTTTACTTGTGAATTATTTAAAAGTATGTCTTTAATTTCCACATTTAAAAGACATTTTTGGGCTCACGCCTGTAATCCCA